>NC_000006.12:92605770-92756709 GCF_000001405.40 Homo sapiens
TTCAACATCTTTTCATAATTAAAACCTTCAAAAAACTAGGGATAGAAGGAATATATCTATGTTTTTTATTAAAAAGCCATATATGACAGACCCACAGCTATTATCGTAGTGAATGGGGAAAAACTGAAAGCCTTTTCTCTAAGATCTGGAACATGACAACGATGCCCAGTTGCCACTGTTGTTCAACATATTAATAATATTGGAATTTTTAGCTACAGCAATCAAACAAAAGAAAGCTATAAATGGCATCCACATCAGAAATCAAAGAGTTAAATTATCCTTGAGGATGATATGATCTTATATTTGGAATAACCTAAAGACTCCACAAGAAAACTGTTAGAATGGATAAACTCGAAGAAGTTATAGGATACAAAATCAACATACAAAAATCAACAGCATTTCTATATGCCAAAAGTGAACAATGTGAAAGACAAATAAAAAGTAATCCATTTACAATAGTCACACATAAAATTAAATACCTAGGAATTAACTTAACCAAATAAGTGAAAGGTCTCTATATTGAAAACTATAAAACACGGATGAAGGAAATTGAAAGGGAAACACACAAAAAAATAAAAAATATTCCATGTTCATGTATTGGAAGAATCAATATTGTTAAAATAGCCATACTCTCCAAAGCAATCTAGAGATTCAATGCAATCCCTCTCAAAATACCAATGACAGTCTACACAGAAATAGAAAAGAAACCATTCTAAAACATATAGGGAACCATAAAAGTCCCAGAGTAGCCAAAGGTATCCTAAGCAAGAAGAACAAAACTGGAGGAATCCCGGCAGGGCGTGGTGGCTCAGGCCTGTAATCCCAGCACTTTGGGAGGCCGAGGCGGGCGGATCACGAGGTCAGGAGATCGAGACCATCGTGGCTAACACAGTGAAACCCCATCTCTACTAAAAATACAAAAAATTAGCCGGGCATGGTGGTGGGCGCCTGTAGTCCCAGCTACTCAGGAGGCTGAGGCAGAAGAATGGCGTGAACCTGGGAGGCAGAGTTTGCAGTGAACCGAGATTCCGCCACTGCACTCCAGCTTGGGCAACAGAGTGAGATTCCATCTCAAAAAACAAAACAAAACAAAACAAAACAAACAAACAAAAAAACCGGAGGAATCCCATTACCTGAATTCATATTGTACAACAGAGCTATAGTTACCAAAACAGCATGGTAATGTCATAAAAACAGACACACAGACCAATGGAACAGAGTAGAGAACCCAGAAACAAATCCACACACCTACACTGAACTCATGTTTGACAAAGGTGCCAAGAACATACACTGGGGAAAAGATGGTCTCTTCAACAAATGATGCTGGGAAAACTGATTAGCCATATGCAAAAGAAAAAGTAGACCTCTACCTCTTGCAGTATACCAAAATCAAATCAAAATGACCACCAAGACTTAAATGTAAGACCTCAAACTATAAAAGTGCTACATTAAAGCATTAGGGAAAATCTCCAGGAGATTGATCTGGGCAAAGACTTCTTAAGCAATATTCTACAAGCACAGGCAAACAAAGCAAACATAGACAAATGGGATCACATCAAGTTTTAAATCTTATGCACATCAAAGAATACAATGGACAAAGTAAAAATACAACCCAGAGAATGAGAGAAAATATATGCAACCTGCTCATCTAACAAGGAATTGATAACCAGAATACATAAGGTGCTCAAACAACTCTACAGGAAAATATCTAATAATCCAATAAAAAATGGGCAAAAGATTTGAATAGACATTTCTCAAAGGAAGACATACAAATGACAAAAAGGCATATTAAAAGGTGCTCCACATCACTGATGAAGAAATGCAATCAAAACTACAATGAGGTATCATCTCACTCCAGTTAGAATCGCTTATATCCAAAAGACAGACAATAGCAAATACTGGCGAGGATGTGGAGAAAGGGGATCCCTAGTACACTCTTGGTGGGAAAGTAAATTAGTTCAACCACTATGAAGAACAGTTTGGAGGTTCCTCACAAAAATAAAAATTGAGCTACCATATGATCCAGCAATCTGACTGCTGGGTATATATCCAAAAGAAAGGAAATAAGTATATCAAAGAGATATCTGCACTCCTATGTTTATTGCAAAAATGTTTACAATAGCTAATATTTGGAAGCCACTTAAGTGTTCATCAACAGATGAATGGATAAATAAAGTGAGATACAAATACATAATAGAATACTATTCAGCCATAAAAAAGAATGAGATCCAGTCATTTACAATATCATGGATGGGTCTGGTGATAACTATGCTAAGTGAAATAAGCCAGGAACAGAAAGACAAATGTCACATGTTCTCACTTATTTGTGGAATCTAAAAATACAAACAATTGAACTCAAGGTCATGGAGAGTAGATGGATGGTTACCAGAGGTGGGGAAAGGTAGAAGGGATTTGCAGGGAAAGGCAGAGATGGTTATGGGTACAAAAAGTTAGAAAGAAAAACTACTATTTGATATTACAATAGGGTGACTATAGCTAATAATAAGTTAATTGTATATTTGAAAATAAAGAATGTAATTGAATTGTTTGTAACTCAAAGGACAAATGCTTGAGGGGATGGATACCCCATTCTTCATAATGTGTTTATTTCACCTTGCATGCCTGTATAAAAACATCTCATGTACCCCATAAATATATACACCTACTATGTACCCACAAAAAATGAAAAAATAATTTATTTTTTAAATGTCTCTTCAGCCATGCTTAGAAATAAATATATTAGTGGAAAGATCATAGAAACAAAACACAAATATTCTTCTATTTTTACCTTCAGTTTGTGTGTGTGTGTGTGTGTGTGTGTTTGTGTGTGCGTATTTTAGCTTCTGTGTCTACGGTTAATACACAATAGAAAAATTGGGAATGTTAACTGTCTCTGTCTTGAGGAAACTTAGTCATGGTTTATCAAAATTCATTACTTCTGGAGAGTTTGACTAGCTATAGGATCAAACCACTATGCCTTCTTTTCTAATTTAGTTATGGCAGGAGTTGTAAAAATACTTTCATTGTGGCAGCCAGTGATTTTTTTTTTCACAAGCTTTGTTTATACAGAGGAAATAAAACCAATGAATTGAGTCAACCAATTAGTCAGGGAGCTGGGCGTCATGAATATGAAACGACTAGCTCATTGACTATATCATTCATTGTCATACGATTGTTTTGGCATTGAAAAGTCACAGCCGTGGCTTTTCCAAAGTAACATATGCCAATGTATGTTATGAGTGAACGTTTGTCATTCAAATTAGAAACAACAGCAACAAAGACAAAACACATTTCTTTCTGGTCTACCCCATATGGGTAACTGATATTATCACAGCTAGAGTTGAGCAGCCTAGAATATGTAATTTCTTTTTGTAAAAAAATATTTTATCTTGGGGAAAAGCAGTATTTGGCAATGCATCAATTCCTCTACTTTTGTTCATCATTTGTTTGAACAAAGGTAATTATGTTCACAACAAATTAAGCATCAGAATTTTTCTTTTTGTTTCTGGTAGAGTCTCTTATAACCAACTACCAGTTATATCATTACATCTTTCTGTTTTTCATTACTGTCATCAGAAAAGCAGCATTCATTTTTAAAAATTTAGATATAACCTGCCTATAATTTTGCTTTATTAATGAAAACTAATAAGCATCATATCAAAAAATCTATACAAATGCATCAAAAATAATTACTAAATATTTATGAGTATTGATTTTGAGGTAAATTTTAAACGAGTAAATCTTGAATAAATATTTATTAAATTTTAATTGAATATATTAAATGTGTTAAGATTATTAGACACCATACTTTAGTATCAAACTGAACTTTACATATTTCAAATAATAGATACCATTATGGGAATCTTATAATCCCTGACAAATTCAATAAGCATTTCTCAGTTATGACTTGTAATCAAATTTTGTGATTCAAGATGTTGAGCTTTAATACTGATATTTTATTAATAAATTTCTACCAGTTTTTCACTGTAACTTTAATATGGATAGATTAAAACTACTAAATTTTATTTTGGGTAACAACTTCAAATTCAACTTTAAAAGGTCAATTACAACTTTTTTCTTAAATTTTTAACAAGTTTAAAAACAAATGTTTGATGTTAGTTTATCACTATTTGACTTATAAAGCCTCAGTTTAATTTGCCACAAAATTATAGGCATTTAAAAGAACAAGACAGGTAATTTTCCTAGGTTCAGTTTTTCTATAGGGCAGCTATATAAAGATAATATTAATACATCATGTATCTATTATGAAAACATATCATATGGTTTATTTACTATGTATCACTTTTTTGAAGTACTGATCATATTGGGGTATAATAATAGTACCTTCCTCATAGGGTTATTAAAAGCATTTTATGATGAACATATGTTAAGTCCTTAAGACAATACTTGGCACATAATAAGTAAGCGTTCAATAAATGTTAATGTTTCGCCTTCTCCTCCTTATGATCCTCTTTCCTTCCCCTCCTTCTTCCCGTCTTTCTTCTCCTCCTTATGATCCTCTTTCCTTCCCCTCCTTCTTCCCGTCTTTCTTCTCCTCCTCTTTGTCCTTCTTCTCCTCCTCCTCCTCTTTCTTCACCTTTTCCTCTTCCTTCTTCGTCAATTTATTTGGCTCACTTACTTTTCTGTAGGGAATTTTAGTAGTACCATATTTCTACTCTTATACAATAGTGTCCCCAAGGTATTAGTGGAGTTTATGAATTTTATCATATGCTGTTACTCCGTCTATGATATTTTCATATGATTTTACTTCTTTAGCGTGTGGATGTGATGGATTGCATTAACTGATTTTCAAATGTTCAAATAGCTTGGCATACCTGGAATAAATCCAACCTGGTTGTGGTATATACTTTTTTTTGTACATTGTTAGGTTAAATTTGATCATATTTTGTTTAGGGTTTTTTCATCAATGTACATGAGAGATACTGGTCTGTAGTTTTCTTGTACTGTCTTTGGGTATAATCCAGCATATAATTATATGGATTCATGGAATAAGTTAGGACAATACCCTCTGCTTCTATCTGCTAAAAGAAAGTTTGACTTGGTATGATTTCTCCCTAAGCTGTTCGATAAAATTTATCAGTGAACCTACTTGATCCCTTTGCTTTGTTTTGGAGAGTTACTAATTATTGATTAGATTTCTTTAATAGATGTAGACCTATTTAGATTGTCTATTTACTCTTGTGTGATAGCTATCAAAATGCATCTTTCAAGGAATCATTCCATATCATCTAGGTTATCAAATTTATGAACAAAAAGTTATTCATAGCATTTTATTATTCTTTTAATATTCATGGGATATTTACGGTGTTCCTACTTACATTTATGATCTTAGTTAATTATATGCTTTCTTTTATTTGTTTGCCTTGCTAGAGGCTTGTCAAAAAAAAGTGTTGGGTTTCATTGATTTTCTAAATTGATTTTCTTTTTAAAATTTTATTGATTTCTGCTCTAATTTTTATTATTTCTTTTTTTCTGCTCATTTTGGATTTAATTTGCTCTTCCTATTCTAGTTTCTTAAGGTTGGACTTTAGATTATGGATTTTATATTTTTCTTGTTTATCTAATATATGCATTGAATGCTATAAATTCATGTTGTCACAAATGAAAAGATTTCTTTTTTTTTTTTTGGCTGAATCATAGTCCATGCATGGATACAACACATTGTAAAAAAAAAATCTATTTAACATTTAATGAACATTTGGGTTTTCTTAATAGCTTGCTTGTTGTGAATAATGCTGCAGTGACTAGGGAGATGCAGATATCTCTTTGAGATCTTGGTTTCAATTTATGGGATATCTACACAGAAGTGGGATTGCTGGATTATATGGAAGTCCTTTTTTTAATTTTTTTTCCTTCAACTTTTAAGTTCCAGGGTACATGTGCAGGATGTGCAAGTTTGTTACATAGGCAAATGTGTGCTATGGCGGCTTGCTACACAGATCAACCCATCACCTTAGTATTAAGCCCAGTATCCATTGGTTGTTTTTCCTGATGCTCTACCTCCCCTCACCCCTCCCTTCGACTAACCCCAGTAAGTGTTGTTCCCACACCCGTGTGTCCTTATGTTCTCATCATTCAGCCCCCACTTGTAAGTGAGATCATGTGGTGTTTGGTTTTCTATTCCTGCATGAATTTGCTGAGGGTAACAGCTTCCAGCTCCATCCATGTCCCTGCAAAGGACATGATCTCATTCCTTTTTAAGGCTGCATAGTATTCCATGGTGAGTATGTACCACATTTTCTTTATATAGTCTATCACTGATGGACATTTGGATTGATTCTGTGTCTTTGCTATTGTAAATAGTGCTGCAATGAACATACAAGTGAATGTATCTTTATAATAGAATAATTTATATTCATTTGGGTATATACCCAGTAATGGGATTGCTAGGTCACATGCTATTTCTGCCTCTAGATCTTTGAGGAATTACCACAGTGTCTTCCACAATGGTTGAACTAATTTACACTCCCAACAACAGTGTAAAAGCATTTCTTTTTCTCTGCTACCTCGCCAGCATCTGTTGTTTCTGGACTTTTCAATAATTGCCATTCCGACTGGCATGAGATGGTTTCTCACTGTGGTTTTGATTTGCATTTCTCTAATGATTTGTGATGTTGAGCTTTTTTTAATATGCTTGTTGGTCTTGTGAGTGTCTTCTTTTAAGAAGTGTCTGTTCATGTTCTTTGCCCACTTTTTAGTGGGTTGTCTGCTTTTTTCTTGTAAATTTATTTAAGTTTCTTGTAGACTCTGGATACCAGACCTTTGTCAGATGGAGAGATTGCAACATTTTTCTCCCATTTTGTAGGTTTTCTGTTCACTCTGATGATAGTTTTTTAATTATTTTTATTTTTATAGGTTTTGGGGGAACAGGTGATGTTTGGTTGTATGAATAAGTTATTTAGTTGTGATTTCTGAGATTTTGGTGTACCCATGATCCAAGTAGTATACACTTTACCCAACTGGTAGAATTTTATTCCTCACCCCATCCCACCCTTTCCCCAAGTCCCCAAAGTCCACTGTATCCTTCTTATGTCTTTGCATCCTCATAGCTTAGCTCCCACTTATGAGTGAGAACATACAATGTTTGGTTTTCCATTCCTGAGTTACTTCACTTAAAATAATGGTCTCTAATTTCATCCAGGTTGCTGCGAATGCCATTATTTCATTCCTTTTTATGGCTGAGTAGTATTTCATGGTATTACATCACATTTTCTTTATCCACTCATTGATTGATGGGCATTTGGGCTGGTTCCATATTTTTGCAATTGTGAATAGTGCTGTTATAAACAACCATGTGCAAGTATCTTTTGCATATAATGACTTCTTTTTCTCTGGGTAGACACCTAGTAATGGAATTGCTGGGTCAAATGGTAGATATACTTTTAGTTCTTTAAGGAAACTTCACAATGTTTTCCATAGTGTTTGTACTAGTTTACATTCCCAGCCAGTGTTAAAAGTGTTCCCTTGTCACCACATCTATGCCAACATCTATTATTTTTTTCATTTTTTGATTATGGCCACTCTTGCAGAAGTGAGGTGGTATTGTGGTTTCAATTTGAATGTTCTAAATAATTAGTGATGTGATCATTTTTCCATATGCTGGTAGGCCATCTGTGTACCTTCTTTTGAGAATTGTCTATTCATGTACTTAGACCACTTTTTGATGGAATTGTTTGTTTTTTACTTGCTGATTTGTTTGAGTTCGTTGTAGATTCCAGATATTAGTGTTTTGTCGAATGTATAGATTGTCAAGATTTTCTTCCACTCTGTGGGTTGTCTGTTAACTCTGCTGATTATTTCTTTTGCTCTGCAGAATGTTTTTAGTTTAATTAAGTCCCATCTATTTAGTTTTCTTTTTGTTGCATTTGCTTTTGGGTTTTTGGTCAGGAAGTCTTTGCCTAAGCCAATGTCTAGAAGGGTTTTTCCAATGTTATCTTCTAGAATTTTTACGGTTTCAGGTCTTAGATTTAAGTCTTTGATCTATATTGAGTTGATTTTTGTAAAAGGTGAGAGAAGAGGATCCAGTTTCATTCTTCTACATGTGGCTTGTCAATTATCTCAACACCATTTGTTGAATAGGGTGTCCTTTCCCCACTCCATGTTTTTGTTGGCTCTGTGAAGATCTCTTGACTGTGGGTTTATTTCTGGGTTCTCTGTTCTGTTCCATTGGTCCTTATGCCTATTTTTATATCAGTACCATGCTGTTTTGGTGACTATGGCCTTATAGTATAGTTTGAAGTTGGGTGATGTGATGCCTTTGCGTTTGTTATTTTAGCTTAGTCTTTTGGCTATGTGGCTCTTTTTGGTTCCATATGAATTTTAGGATTGTTTTTTCTCTGTCTGTGAAGAATGATGGTGGTATTTTGATGGTCATTGCATTGAATTTGTAGATTGGTTTTAGCAGTATGATCATTTTCACATTATTGATTCTATCTATCCATGGGCATGGAATGTGTTTCCATTTGTTTGTATCATCTATGACTTCTTTCAGCAATGTTCTGTAGTTTTCCTTATAGAGGTCTTTCACCTCCTTGGTTAAGTATATTCCTGATTTTTTTTTTTTTTTTTTTTTTTTTGTCAGCTATAGTGGAAGAGGTTGCATTCTTGATCTGATTCTCAGCTTGCTCATGTTAGTGCATGGCAGGGCTACTGATTTGTGTACATTAATTTTGTATGCTGAACTTTGCTTAATTTCATTTACCAGTTCTGGGAGCTTTTTGAGTGAGTCTTTAGGGTTTTCTAGGTATAGATGTATATCATCAGCAAACAGCCACAGTTTGACTTCCTCTTTACTAATTTGGATACTCTTGATTTCTTTCTCTTATCCAATTGCTCTGGCTAGGACTTCCAGTACTATTTTGAAGAGGAGTGGTGAGAGTGGTCATCCTTGTCTTGTTCCAGTTCTCAGGGAGAATGCTTTCAACTTTTCCCCATTCAGTATAATGTTGGCTGTGGGTTTGTCATAGATGCCTGTTATTACCTTAAGATATGTCCCTTCTATGCCAATTTAGCTAAGGGTTTTAATCATAAACGGATGCTGAATTTTGTCAAATGCTTTTTCTGCATCTATTGAGATGATCATGTGATTTCTGTTTTTAATTCTGTTTATGTGTTGTATCACATTTCTTGACTTGCATATGTTAAGCCATTCCTGGATTCCTGGTATGAAACCCACTTGATCATGGTGGATTATTATTTTGATATGCTATTGGATTTTGTTAGCTAGTATTTTGTTGAGGATTTGTATATATATGTTCAACAGGGTTATTGGTCTGTAGTTTTCTTTTTTTGTTATGTTCTTCCCTGATTTTGGTATTAGGGTTATACTGGCTTCATATAATGATTTAGGGAGGATTTCCTCTTTATCCTGTGGAATAGTGCCAATAGGATTGGTATCAATTCTGCTTTGAATGTGTGATAGAATTCAGCTGTGAATTCGTCTGGTCCTGGATTTTCTTTGGTTGGCAATATTTTTTATACAATTTTAATCTTGTTGCTTGTTATCAGTCTGTTCAGAGTTTCTATATCTTCCTGGTTTAATCTAGGAGGGTTGTATATTTCTAGGAGTTTATCCATCTCTTCTAGGTTTTCTAGTTTATGCACATAAAGGTGTTCATAGTAGACTTTAATAATCTTTTGTATTTCTGTGGTATCATTAGTAATATTTCCTGTTTATTTCTAATTAAACTTATTTGTACTTTCTCTTTTTTCTTGGTTATTCTTGCTAATGGTCTATCAATTTTATTTATCTTTTCAAAGAACCAGCTTTTTGTTTCATTTATCTTTTGTATTTTTTGTTTGTTTCAATTTCATTCAGTTCTACTCTAATCTTTATTATTTATTTTCTTCTGCTGGGTTTGGGTTTGGATTGTTCTTGTTTATCCAGTTCCATGAGATGTGACCTTAGATTGTCTATTTGTGCTCTTTCAGGCATTTAATGCTATGAACTTTCATCTCAGCACCACTTTTGCTATATCCCAGAGGTTTTGATAGGTTGTGGCACTATTATTGTTCCATTCAAAGGAATTTTAAATTCCTTTCTTGATTATATTGTTGACCCAGTGATCATTCAAGAACAGGTTATTTAATTTCCAGGTATTTGCATGGTTTTCAGTGTTCCTTTTGGAGTTGAGTTCCAATTTTATTCCACTATGATCTGAGAGAGTACTTAATATAATTTCAATTTTCTTAAATTTACTGAGACTTGTTATGTGGCCTACCATATTTTGGAAAATGTTCCATGTGCTAATGAATAGAATGTATATTCTGTAGGTTTTGAGTAAAATGTTCTGTAAATATCTGTTAAATTTGTTGTAGAATATAGTTTTAGTCCATTGTTTCTTTATTGACTTTGTGTCTTGATGATCTCTCTAGTGGTGTCCGTGGAGTATTAAAGTCCCCCACTATTATTGTGGTGCTGTGTAATTCATTTCTTATGGCTAGTAGTAAATTGTTTTATAAATTTGGGAACTCCAGTGTTAGGTGCATATATATTTAGGATTGTAATATTTTCTTCTTGGACTAGTCCTTTTGTCATTATATATTGTCCCTCTTTGTCTTTTTAAACTGCTGTTGCTTTAAAGTTTGTTTTGTCTGATATAAGAATAGCTACTTCTGATCACTTTTGGTGTCCTTTTGCATGGAATATCTTTTTCCACCCCTTTATTTTAAGTTTATGTGAATCTTTAGGTGATGCTTTTGAAGATAGCAGAAATTTTGGTGAATTCTTATTCATTCTGCCAGTCTGTATCTTTTAAGTGGAGCACTTAGGCCACCTACATTCAACATCAGTATGAGATGTGAGATACTATTCTATTGATTATACTATTTGTTGCCTGAATACCTTGTTTGCTTTCTTTGTGTTATTGTTATATAGGTCCTGTGAGATTTATGCTTTAAGGACATTTTATTTTGGTGTATTTCAAGGATTTCTTTCAAGATTTACAGGTCTTTTTAGCATTTGTTGTAGTGCTAGCTTGGTAGTGGTGAATTCTCTCAGTATTTGTTTTTCTGGAAACGACTATTTTTTCTTCATTTATGAAGCTTTGTTTCTCTGGATAGAATATTATTGGCTGATAATAGTTTTGTTTAATAAAGGAGGCTAAAAATAGGACCACAAACCCTTGTAGCTTGTAGGATTTCTGCTGATAAATCTTCTGTTACTCTGATAGGTTTTCCTTTATAGGTTACCTGATGCTTTTGCCTCACAGCTCTTAAGATTCTTTCCTTCATCTTGACTTTAGATAACCTGATGACTATGTGCCTAGGTGATAATCTTTTTGTGATGAATTTCCCAGGTGTTCTTTGAACTTCTATTTGGATTTCTAGATCTCTAGCAAGCCTAGGGAAGTTTTTCTCGATTATTACCTCAGAGAGGTTTTCCATACTTTTAGACTTCTCTTCTTCCTCAAAAACTCCAATTATTCTTAGATTTTCATGTTTAACATAGTCCCAAACTCCTCGGAGGCTTTGTTGATTTTTTAAAATTCTTTTTTGTCTTTGAGGGATTGGGTTAATTCAAAAGCCTTGTCTTCGAGCTCTGAAGTTCTGTCTTCTGCTTGTTCAATTCTATTGTCAAGACTTTCAAGTGCATTTTGCATTTCTCTAAGTGTGTCCTTGATTTCCAGAAGTTGTGATTGTTTTGTATTGATGTTATTTCACTGAAGATTTTTCCTTTCATCTTCTGTATCATGTTTTTCATTTCTTTAAGCTGGACTTCACCTTTCTCTGGTGCCTCCTTGATTAGTTTAATAATCAACCTTCTGAATTTTTTTTCTTTTTGCAATTCAGAGATTTCATCTTGGTTTGGATCCATTGCTATTGAGCTGGGGTGATCTATTGGGTGTGTTAAAAAAAAAACTCATTTTGTCGTATTACCAGGATTGTTATTCTGGTTCCTTCTCATTTGGGTAGACTATGTCAGAGGGAAGATATGAGACTCAAGGGCTGCTGTTCAGATTCTTTTGTCCCACCGGTTGTTCCCTTGATGTGGTGATCTCCCCCTTCCCTTAGGGGTGGGGCTTCCTGAGAGCTAAACTGTAGTGATTGTTTTTGTTCTGGGTCTAACCACCCAGCAGAGCTACCAGGCTCTGGCTGGTGCTGGGGAGTCGATACAAAGAGTCCTGTGATGTGGTTCATCTTCAGATCTTTCAGCCACGGATACCAGCACCTGCTCTGGTGGAGGTAGTAGGGGAGTGAAGTGGATGCTGTGCAGGTCCTTGATTGTATTTTTGTCTAGTTTTCTGGTTTTGTGTTGGTTGGCCTCCAGCCAGGAGGTGGCACTTTCAAGAACACATCAGCTGCAGTACTGTAAGGAAAAAGCAAAGTTGCCCTAGGCTGGCCTGGTAAGTATTCAGGTTTCTCAGGCAGTGGGCAGGTCTGGAGAAGTGCTCTCAAGAGATTATGACTTTTGTCTTTGGCAACCACGGAAGGTAGAGAAAGACCACCAGGTGGGGGCACAGATAGGCCTATCTGAGCCGAGACTCTCCCTGGGCAGGACTTGCTCCGGTGGCTGTGGGGGATGGGGGTTGTGGTTTTCAGCCCAATGAAGTTATGTTCCCAGGGGAATTATGGCTGCCTCTGCTGAATTATACAGGTTTCCAGGGAAGTGGGGGAAAGCCGGCAGTCACAGGCCTCACCCCATTCCCACACAGCCTGCAGTCCTAAAGGCTGGTCTCACTCCCACTGACCCCACAACAGCACCAAATCTATTTCCAGGCAGCCAGTGACCAAGCCTTAGAACTTGCCCCAGACCACCAGCTTCCCTCAAGAGAAAACAAGCAGACTCACAATTTTTTGGCATCTCAAGGAGCCTGCTGCAGCGATCCAATTCCTTCAAAGGGTCTGTCTGTGGATTCTCTCAGCTTTCCTTGTATGTTCCTGTGATGGTTCTTAGAGTAAAAGTTCATGATGTTAAGTCTCCTCATGTTGCTCTTTCTGTCTGAGTAGGAGCTGCAAGCTAGTCCTGCCTCCTATCCGCCATCTATTTTTAATTATTTTCAGGAATCTCCATACTGTCTTTCATAATCACTGCATCATTCTACATTCCCAGCAACAGTCTATAAGGGTTCCAATTTCTCCACATCCTTGCCAACACTTTTTTTTATGATAGCCATCTTAACAAGTGTGAGGTGATATCTCATTGCATTATGCTAAGTGAAATAAGCCAGTGACAGACAAACACTGCATGATTCACTTACATAAGGTCTCTAATATCATCAAACTCATAGAAGTAGAGAATAGAATGGTGGTTACCAGGAACTAGAGAAAAGAAAAATGGGGAATTTTTTTCATTCTTTCTTAGAATGCTCATCTGTTTTTGCATGCTGCTGACTTTATCTATTTGAGCTCTTAGCATATTATATTAATATTAGTGTTCATATTAACATAAATTCCAACATCTCTGCCATATGTGAGTGTGGTTCTGATGCTTGCTCTATCTTTTCAAATTGTGCTTTTTGCTTGTGAGTGTGTCTTGTAATTTTTCTTGATACCCTGATATGACGTAGTTGGTAAAAGTAACCTGGCACACTGGTTTCTGCTAATGCCTTTTTGCCCTGTTAAGTTGTGAATCTCTGTATTTGTATGTATATCTTTTTATTTTGGGGAGCAGTGGTTTGCCTGGCAAACTCACTTCTCTAACAAATATAATAAGAGTTGTTGATTCCTTAGTTTTTTCAGCTTTTTAATTGTTAAGATGGAATGACAATTTCTAAGCTCCTCAAAACGCTGGACCAGAAAACAGAAGTTAAAATTTCCTTTAAAAAAGTTGAAGATAATCTTTTAAGATCTGTCTTTGCAAATGATATGTAAATAAGGTCCACACTGTGGACAACAGAGTAGAGGTTGATTTAAATCATCTAATGTCACCCTTATTAAATATCATTTTTAGTTTTGGTTCTATAGCTTAGTTACAATGCTAATAGTCAGACTCTCAAAATAATCACATTCCTACAATTTAAGAAAAAAATATATGTAACTAACCTGCACATTGTGCACATGTACCCTAAAACTTAAAGTATAATAATAATAAAATAAAAAATAATAATAATAAAAAATAAAATAAAATAAAATAAAATACATAGAAAAGTAAAAGCGTTACTTTCATTCCATTTTAAGGCATCTTCACACAAAGAAAAAATGTTTTAAAAATGTTCCTATATTCATAAAAATAAAGTAGTTAATAATAGCACTCAATCTACACATTAATAATGATAATCTTATATCCTTATATATAGTTACTTACTACTTCACATATTTCACAAGGGATTTGTGGGGATTAATTTTAAACATAATTTATATTAATATTTACATACTCTCGAAAAAAATAAAACACTACATAAATGTCAATTGCTGCAATTAAGGGTCCTCAATATTAAAATGCTATGTTAACACAAAATTTGAAAAGAAAGAAATCATTTCTTTAAGAAAAAGAGGAACCTAAAATTTGGTGAGAAAAAAAATATTAGAGACAAAAGAGTAATTAAATTATTGATACCAATAAACAATGTTATTTTAAGGACAAATGGACAAGTATGAGACCATTCATAAGTTTATGCAATTTCTGTTAGTAGAACTAATAGAAGACATCTATAAATGATAAAAAATAATTTAAAAGCACCTGTCATATACTTCAAATTATTTAAATAATTTGATAGTGAATGAATTATTCATTCATAAATAGTGCCAATTAAGGATCTAAATTTATTTGCTATTTTGTATTATCAACAGATGATTCCTATTTTCAAACATTCCATTGATATTATGATTCCATTAACAAGAAAAATCCCTAATACTGATACATAATGCTTATTACTTGCTCACAAAAATATCCATTAGAATTCTTCCTTAGGTTTTTCAGGTACCTACAATATTGGTAATATAACAAATAAAAACATGTTAATGCAATCATAAACTAATTATATACTTTAATGGAGTTGTTCATCATTTTTTAAAAAGGTAAACAGTTTGAAATTGTGAGGTGCCATAATGTTTTCTTTGAGTTGAACTGATCAGATCTAAATTTTCAGTATTTACTTGAGCCATGATTTTAGAAATGCATTTATGCCTTTTCTTTCTCCACCACTCTAATTAATGCAATTGTGGATGACTCAGTTTTAGAGATAAACATAATTACCTAAAGAGATTATTTGTCTAAAATATCATAATCATTTTATTGAGATAAGTTTAATTTATTAATAAGAGATTTCCTGGCTTATAACCTTCCATTCAACCCTAAGGCTGATTGGAAAAACCATATTATGAGAAACTTAAATGACCCTAGGAACTAGTGTACTCACTAAGATGATGGGTTGCAACTTTCAAAAACAATTCTTCAGAGAAAAGAAGAGAAAAAAGCCAGTGTGCATGTGTATATTTTTATATGTGTGTGAGTGTGTGTATGTATGTATAGTCATTTTTATACAAAGCGTTAAGTTATATACGTATAACTGTTTTGCTTCTTTATTTGTATTAAGATATTGTCTGCATACAGTTTCCCCTAAGCTGTATTTTGTGCTCTAAGAATAATGATGATGAATGTTAAAATACAATTGATAGTTAAGGAACTCACGCCAACCCCAGTAGCTCTTATCTGGATCAACCAGTTACTGGTAGTACTCAGAGTGTTATCTGGGTTCAAGATGTCTCACCTTAGTTCTGGCTGAAATAGTGAAGGGCAGTGACTAGAACTGGAAAACTGATTATTATAAGTAACATGCTGAAGAGCTGGTATTTTTTTTCCTGGAATATTGACTTCATGAAGAAGAAAATAAATCTGTCACAAAAGGGGATTTCAGAAGTTATGCTAGTATTAATATAAAAAGAGAGATGTAGCAAAAATATTAAAGATAGATATTGTCAAAAGCATAGGTATTTGTATATATGTCTGTGTGTGTGTGTATATATATGATAGACGCATAGATACATATGTAGAAATATTTTATGTCATTACACATACTAAGCATGTCATCTGATTATAATTTAAGTCATTTTTCCACTTCACTATATTGTTTGCCATTTAGATAAAAAGTATGAGACAGAAGAATTAGAAGGGAGAAGTTTCAAAATGAATAGTTGTATGAAAAAAGACTTTCTGGCATACAAACCAAAATATTTTTATTAAAAATCAGCCAGTATTTCAATGATGAGCAATGTTACCTATTTTAATCAATTCGAATAGCACATAAAATTCATTGTGGGATTAACAAGTACACCATTTACAATCCCGAGTGTGGGCATTTTCTATATACTTAATAGCTCTTCAGTAAGCAAACCCTGTGCAGGTAATTTTGAAAGATATATACTATGTACAACCTAATTTAAAAGTAATGAGGGCAGAGCAATCCATCACAAAACTAAATTCACTCCTCAGCAGGTGTGTTTCACGGCCTGGGTAGATACTTTTATTAGGGCAAGCATTATTAGATTATTTTTAAAAATTGGTAAGTAGAATTGTGTCCTATTTTTGTTCCAATTCAAAAAGATAAGCAGTTGTGTGGCACTGGAAGTACAATTGATCATCCTTGATCTTCTCAACATTATATCAATTTTAAGCCTTAAGTAAACAAAACAAATGTAAACACACTCATATTACATTTAAAAATTAAAATTAAGCATAAGCTACTGTAAATTCTAGAGTTTTTAAGACAAATGCAAAAACAGGTTTCACTAGTTCAGCTCAACAAGAGCAAAATATTTATGTACTCAATATCAAAATCAATGTAGGAAGAAAATATATAACGTGTTGAAAGTAGTTAATTATTACTGTGTCAACTAGTCGCACTTATTTTTGGTACCATTTATTACAGGGTAGCTTTTATCAGAATAACACTTTTGCAAGGAGATACATAACACTACAGAACATCCTATACAAGCCGGGCGCGGTGGCTCATGCCTGTAATCCCAGCACTTCGGGAGGCAGAGGCGGGCGGATCACAAGGTCACGAAATCAAGACCATCCTGGCTAACACAGTGAAACCCTGTCTCTACTAAAAATATATAAAAAAAAAAATAGCTGGGCGTGGTGGCGGGCACCTGTTATCCCAGCTACTCGGGAGGCTGAGGCAGGAGAATGGTGTGAACCCAGGAGACAGAGCTTGCAGTGAGCCGAGTTCGCGCCACTGCACTCCAGCCTGGGCGACAGGGTGAGACTCCATCTCAAAAAAAAAAAAAAAAAAGGAAAAAAGAACATCCTACACAGGAGGATCTAAAGAAGTTACACTTTTTAAAAATAAAACAAAAGCACATACTTTGAGCTCTGCAGTCCTTGCTTTACTTTAGGGTTCACTCTTGGTGGTGTATGTGCTACGGGTTTGGATAAATTCCAAATGACATGTATCCACTATTATGCTATAATACAGAGTAGTTTAACAGCCATTAAAATCCTCTGTGTTTGGCCTATTCATCCCTCCTACCCTTCAAAACCTCTCGCAATCACTGATCTTTTTCGTGTTTTCGTATTTTTTACCTTTTCCAGAATGCCATATACTTGAAATCACAAAGTATGTAGCCATTTATGATTGACTTTTTTCACTTAGTAAATATGCATTTTAGTTTCCTCTATGTTTTTAATGGCTTCATGGCTCATTTCTTTATAGCGCTGAATAACATTTCATGGTCTGGAAGTGGTAAGTTTATTTATTCAGGCACCTACTAAAAAGCATTTTGGTTGCTTCCAAGTTATAGCAGTTATGAATAAAGCTACTATGAACATCTGTGTGCAAGTTTTTGTTTGTTTGTTTGTTTGTTTAGAGACAGTGTCTCACTCTGTTGCCACTCTGTTGCCCAGGCTGAAATGCAGTGTCACTGTCATGGTTCACTGGGCTCAAGAAGCCATGCCGCAGCCTCTTGAGTAACTAGGACTACAGAAACACAGCCCCATGCCTCGCTAATTTTTCTACTTGTTTTGTAGAGACAGGGTATCACTGTTGCCCAGGCTGGTCTTGAACTCCTGAGCTCCAGTGATCTTCCCACCTCAGCCTCCCAAAGTGCTTACATTACAGGTGTGAGCCACTGCACCTGGCCTGTGTACAGGGTTTTTTCTGAACATAAGTTTTCAGTTTCTTTGGATAAATACCAAGAAACACAATTGCTGGATCACATGGTAAGAGTATGTTTAGTTTTGCAGGAGCCTACCAAACCGTTTTCCAAAATGGCTGTACCATTTTGCATTCTCTCTAGCAATGAATGAAAGTTCCTGTTGCACACATCCTTGCCAGCATTCTACGTTGTCAGTGTTTTGAATTGCGAATATTCTAATAAGATCGTATTGTTGTTTTAAGCTGCAATTCCCTAATGATATATGATATTGAACATACTTTCATATGCTTATTTGCCATCTATATATCTTCTTTGGTGAGCTATCTGTTTAGATCTTTTGTCCATTTTAATGGGTTGTTTTCTTGTTATTTTAAGAGTTCTTTGTATATTTTTAATACTGCCTTTTATCAGATATGTCTTTTGCAAATACTTCCTGCCAATTTGTATCTGAACTTTTATTTTTTTTCTTTTTTTTATTTAATATATATATATATTTTTATTATACTTTAAGTTCTAGGGTACCTGAGCAAAACGTGCAGGTTTGTTACATATGTATACATGTGCCATGCTGGTGTGCTGCATCCATTAACTCATCATTTACATTAGGTATATCTCCAAATGCTATGCCTTCCCCCTGCCCCGACCCCACAACAGGCCCCAGTGTGTGATGTTCCCCGTCCTGTGTCCAAGTATTCTCATTGTTCAATTCCCACTTACGAGTGACAACACGCGGTGTTTGGTTTTCTGTCCTTGTGACACTTTGCTGAGAATGATGGTTTCCAGCTTCATCCATGTCCCTACAAAGGACATGAACTCATCATTTTTTATGGCTGCATAGTATTCCATGGTGTATATGTGCCACATTTTCTTAATCCAGTCTATCATTGTTGAACATTTGGGTTGGTTCCAGGTCTTTGCTATTGTTAATAGTGTTGCAATAAACATATGTGTGCATGTGTCTTTATAGCAGCATGATTTATAATCCTTTGGGTATATACCCAGTAATGGGAAGGCTGGGTCAAATGGTATTTCTAGTTCTAGATCCTTGGGAATCACCACACTGTCTATGCAGAATGGTTGTACTAATTTACAGTCCCACCAACAGTGTAAAAGTGTTCCTATTTCGCCACATCCTCTCCACCACCTGTTGTTTCCTGACTTTTTAATGATCGCCATTCTAACTGGTGTGAGATGATATCTCACTGTGGTTTTGATTTCCATTTCTCCGATGGAGAGTGATGATGAGCATTTTTCCATGTGTCTGTTGGCTGCATAAATGTCTTCTTTTGAGAAGTGTCTGTTCATATCCTTTGCCCACTCTGTGATGGGGTTTTTTTTTCTTATAAATTTGTTGGAGTTCTTTGTAGATTCTGGATATTAGCCCTTTGTCAGATGAGTAGATTGCAAAAATTTTCTCCCATTCTGTAGGTTGCCTCTTCACTCTGATGGTAGTTTCTTTTGCTGTGCAGAAGCTCTTTAGTTTAATTAGATCCCATTTGTCAATTTTGGCTTTTGTTGCCATTGCTTTTGGTGTTTTAGACATGAAGTCCTTGCCCATGCCTATGTCCTGAGTGGTATTGCCTAGTTTTCTTCTAGGGTTTTTATGGTTTTAGGCCTAACATTTAAGTCTTTAACCCACCTTGAATTAACTTTTGTATAAGGTGTAAGGAAGGGATCCAGTTTCAGCTTTCTACATATGGCTAGTCAGTTTTCCCAGCACCGTTTGTTAAATAGGGAATCCTTTCCCCATTTCTTGCTTTTGTCAGATTTGTCAAAGATCAGATGGTTGTAGATGTGTGGTATTATTTCTGAGGGCTCTGTTCTGTTTCACTGGTCCACATCTCTGTTTTGGTACCAGCACCATGCTGTTTTGGTTACTGTAGCCTTGTAGTATAGTTTGAAGTCAGGTAGCATGATGTCTCCAGCTTTGTTCTTTTGGCTTAGGATTGACTTGGCAATGTGGGCTCTTTTTTGGTTCCATATGAACTTTAAAGTAGTTTTTTCCAATTCTGTGAAGAAAGTCGTTGGTAGCTTGATGGGGATGGCATTTAATCTATAAATTACCTGGGGCAGTATGGCCATTTTCACGATATTGATTCTTCTTATCCATGAGCATGGAATGTTCTTCCATTTGTTTTTTTTTTGTTTTGTTTTTTTTTTTTTTTTTGAGACGGAGTCTCGCTCTGTCGCCCAGGCCGGACTGCGGACTGCAGTGGCGCAATCTCGGCTCACTGCAAGCTCCGCTTCCCGGGTTCACGCCATTCTCCTGCCTCAGCCTCCTGAGTAGCTGGGACTACAGGCGCCCGCCACCGCGCCCGGCTAATTTTTTGTATTTTTAGTAGAGACAGGGTTTCACCTTGTTAGCCCGGATGGTCTCGATCTCCTGACCTCATGATCCACCCGCCTCGGCCTCCCAAAGTGCTGGGATTACAGGCGTGAGCCACCGCGCCCGGCCCTTCCATTTGTTTTGTCACCACCAGGTCTGCCCTACAAGAGCTCCTGAAGGAAGCACTAAACATGGAAAGGAACAACCAGTACCAGCCACTGCAAAAACATACCAAATTGTAAAGACCATAGATGGTAGGAAGAAACTGCATCAACTAACGAGCAAAATAACCAGCTAACATCATAATGACAGGATCAAATTCACACATAACAATATTAACCTTAAATGTAAATGGGATAAATGCTCCAATTAAAAGACACAGACTGGCAAATTGGATAAAGAGTCAAGACCCATCTGTGTGCTGTATTCAGGAGACCCATCTCACGTGCAGAGATACACATAGGCTCAAAATAAAGGGATGGAGGAAGATCTACCAAGCAAATGGAAAACAAAAAAAGGCAGGGGTTACAATCCTAGTCTCTCATAAAACAGACTTTAAACCAACAAAGATCAAAAGAGACAAAGAAGGTGATTACATAATGGTAAAGGGATCAATTCAACAAGAAAAGCTAACTATCCTAAATATATATGCACCCAATACAGGAGCACCCACATTCATAAAGCAAGTCCTTAGAGACCTACACAGAAACTTAGACTCCCACACAATAATAATGGGAGACTTTAATACCCCACTGTCAACATTTGACAGATCAATGAGACAGAAAGTTAACAAGGATATCCTGGAATTGAATTCAGCTCTGCACCAAGCGGACGTAATAGACATCTACAGAACCCTCCACCCCAAATAAACAGAATATACATTCTTCTCAGCACCACACCACACCTATTCCAAAATTTACCACATAGTTGAAAGTAAAGCACTCCTCAGCCAACGTAAAAGAACAGAAAGTATAACAAACTGTCTCTCAGACCACAGTGAAATCAAACTAGAACTCAAGATTAAGAAACTCACTCAAAACCGCTCAACTACATGGAAACTGAACAACCTGCTCCTGAATGACTACTGGGTACACAACAAAATGAAGGCAGAAATAAAGATGTTCTTTGAAACCAACAAGAACAAAGAAACAACATACCAGAATATCTGGGACACATTTAAAGCAGTGTGTAGAGGCAAGTTTATAACACTAAATGCCCACAAGAGAAAGCAGGAAAGATCTAAAATTGACACCCTAACATCACAATTAAAAGAACTAGAGAAGCAAGAGCAAACACATTCAAAAGCTAGCAGAAGGCAAGAAATAACTGAGATCAGAGCAGAACTGAAGGAGGTAGAGACACAAAAAACCCTTCAAAAAATCCATGAATTCAGGAGCTGGTTTTTTGAAAAGATCAACAAAATTGATAGACTGCTAGCAAGACTAATAAAGAAAAAAAGAGAGAAGAATCAAATAGATGCAACAAAAAATGATAAAGGGGATATCACCACCGATCCCACAGAAATACAAACTACCATCAGAGAATACTATAAACACCTCTATGCAAATAAACTAGAAAATCTACAAGAAATGGATAAATTCCTCAAAACATACACCCACCAAGACTAAATCAGGAAGAAGTTGAATCTCTGAATAGACCAATAACAGGCTCTGAAATTGAGGCAATAATTAATAGCTTACCAACCAAAAAAAGTCCAGGACCAGATGGATTCACAGCCGAATTCTACCAGAGGTACAAGGAGGAACTGGTACCATTCCTTCTGAAACTATTCCAATCAATAGAAAAAGGGGGACTCCTTCCTAACTCATTTTATGAGGCCAGCATCATTCTGATACCAACGCCTGGCAAAGACACAACTAAAAAAGAGAATTTTAGACCAATATCCCTGATGAACATCGATGCAAAAATCCTCAATAAAATACTGGCAAATCCAGCAGCACATCAAAAAGCTTATCCACTATGATCAACTGGGCTTCCTCCCTGGGATGCAAGGCTGGTTCAACATATGAAAAATCAATAAATGTAATCCAGCATATAAACAGAACCAAAGACAAAAACCACATGATTATCTCAATACATGCAGAAGAGGTCTCTGACAAAATTCAGCAGTGCATCATGCTAAAAACTCTCAATAAATTAGGTATTGGCGGGACGTATCTCAAAATAATAAGAGCTATCTATGACAAACCCACAGCCAATATCATACTGAATGGGCAAAAACTGGAAGCATTCCCTTTGAAAACTGGCACAAGATAGGGATGCCCTCTCTCACCACTCCTATTCAACATAGTGTTGGAAGTTCTGGCCAGGGCAATCAGGCAGGAGAAAGAAATAAAGGGTATTCAATTAGGAAAAGACGAAGTCAAATTGTCCCTGTTCGCAGATGACATGATTGTATATCTAGAAAACCCCATCATCTCAGCCCAAAATATCCTTAAGCTAATAAGCGACTTTGGCAAAGTCTCAGGATACAAAATCAATGTGCAAAAATCACAAGCATTCTTATACACCAATAACAGACAATCAGAGAGCCAAATCATGAGTGAACTCCCATTCACAATTGCTTCAAAGAGAATAAAATACCTAGGAATCCAACTTACAAGGGATGTGAAGGACCTCTTCAAGGAGAACTACAAACCACTGCTCAACGAAATAAAAGAGGACACAAACAAATGTATCTCAACTTTTAATTGTATTGACAATATATTTGACAGCAGAAATTCTTAATTTTTATGAAGTACACTTTAATGATTTTTTCTTATCGATTGTGCCTTTGATGTTGCATCTAAAATATCAGCACTAAACCCAAGATCATCTAGATTTTCTTCTATATTATCTTCTAGAAGTTTTATAGTTCATATTTTATTTTATTTATTTTTATACTTTTGAGACTGAGTTTTGTTCTGTCACCCAGGCTGTAGTGCAATGGCGTGATCTCAACTCACTACATCCTCTGCCTCCCCGTTTCAAGTGATTCTCCTGCCTCAGCCTCCCAAGTAGCTGGGATTACAGGTGTGTACCACCACACCCAGCTAATTTTTGTATTTTTAGTAGAGATGAGGTTTCACCATATTGCCCAGGCTGGTTTTGAGCTCCTGACCTCAGGTGAGTCACCCACCTCAGCCTCCCAAAATGCTGGGGTTACAGGCATAAGCCACCATGCCCAGCCTAATTTTGTATTTTACATTTAGGTCTGTGATCCATTTTGAGTTAGTTTTAGTGAAGAATGCAAGGTCTGTTCCTAGATTCTTTTTTTTTTAGGGGGGGGAGCATGTTGTTCCAATGCCATTTGTTAAAAAGAATACCTTTTCTTCACTGCATTGCCTTTGCTCTTTTGTCAAATATTAGTTGATTGTATTTATGTGGGTTTATTCCTGGTCTCTCTCTTTCGTTCCATTGCTTTATTTGTATGGTCTTTTGCCAACACTATACTGTGTAAATATAGTAAGGCACAAGGTCAGGTAGTTTTACTCTCTGACTTTATCATTATTGAGTTTGCTATTCTGGGCCTTTCGTTTGCTATCAAATAGGTTTATTGCTATCCACAAAATAAAATACTAGGATTTTGATTGCAGTTACATTGAATCTATAGATCAAGTTGAGAAGAACTGACATCTTGGCAATATTCAAATTCTGATGAACATGGCATACCTCTCCATTTATCTAATTTTTTTTATCACTTTCATCATAAATTTCTAGTTTTCTTCATTAAGCTCTTATATATATATATTTTGTTATATTTACACCAAATGTAAATGATAACGTGTTTGTAATTTAAAATTCCACTTGTTCATTGTTGCTATATAAGAAATTGACTTTTATACACCAACCTTGTATCTTGCAACCTTGTCATAATTGTTTTTTAGCATCAGGTTTTTGCGTTTGGGTCAATTAGTTCAGATTTTCTACAGAGATGTTCATATTATCTGCTAGCAAAGCCTTATTTCTTGTTTCTCAATCAGTATACATTTTTATTTCCTTTTCTTATTGCATAAGCTAGGATTTTCAGTAAAATGTTAAAAAGGAGTGGTGAGTGGGAACATTTTTTTCTCATACCTGATCTTAGTGAGAAATCTTGTAGGTTCTCACCATTAAGCATGATGTTAGCTGTTAGGTATTTTTGTAGATATTCCTTATTAAATTGAAAAAGTTCCCTTCTATTCCTAGCTTCCTGACAGTTTTAATCATAAAGGGTATTGAATTTTGTCAAATATTTTTTCTTCATGTGTTAATATGATAATGTGATTTTTCTTTAGCCTACTGATATGATATAAATTAAATATATTAATTGATTTTTAAAATGTTAAGCCAAACTTGCATACCTGGGATAGATAAATCCTACTTAATATGTTATTCTTTTAATATATAGTTGGATTTGATTTGATAATACTTTGTTGAGGATGTTTTATGTTAATAAAATAAATTAGTATGTAGTTTTCTGGTAATATCTTTGTCTGGTTTTGGTAGGAGGGTGACATTAGCCTCATAGAATGAGTTAGGAAGTATTCCCTCTGCTTCTATTTTCTGAAAGAGATTGTAGAGTATTGGTATAATTTCTTGCTTAAATATTGGTAGACTTCACCAGTAAACCCATTTAAATCTGGTGCTTTCTGTTCTTAAAGGTTATTTATTATTGATTTGTTTTCTTTTGTAGATATAGGCCTATTTAGATTGTCTATTCTTGTATGAGTTTTGCCAAACTGTGTCTTTCAAAGAATCTGGCCATTTCATCTAGGTTATTAAATTTACAAGCATAGTATTTTTCATAATGTTCCTTTATTAATTTATAACATTTATTAGACCTGTAATAATGTTCCCTCCTTCATTTCTGATATTAATAATTTGTATCCTCCCTCTTTTTTTCTTAGTCTAGCTAGAGGCTAGTTGATTTTATAGTTTTTTCAAGAATAAACTTTTGGTTTCATTGATTTTTCTGTATTAATTTTATTTGTTACTTCATTGATTTCTGCTGTAATACTTTTTATTTCAATACTTCATTTCTTCTCCTTTATAACTAATAAGAAAAAAATTGATAATAAAACAAGAAGAAATTGGCAAATCCACACTCATAGTGGAAGATTTCATACACTTCTCTCAAAAACCAACTAAACCAATGGAACTAACCCTAAAATAAGGATCTAGGAGAGTTGAACAACAAAACAACAGCAATATAGAATTATGCCTCCAAAAAAGGGAAAGCATATGTTATATCTACATAAGAGAAACCATATATTATATATACAAAATGCTTATCATCATTTTTTGCCCTAATGGACATATTAACAAATACCAAATGACAACAACAAAGAAAACAGGCCAAACACATTCAACATAATGGAAAACAATGGAAATCAACAACATAAATTGAGCTGAAATTCAAACCAAATCATACTTCCTGTACTCATTTCCCAGGGCTTCTATAACAAATTACCACAAACTAGGTGACTTCACAAAACAGAAATTTATTCTCTTACTATTCTAGAGCCTAGAAGTTTAAAATCAAGCTTTCTGCAATGCTGTGTTCCTTCTGAAGATGAGGGAAGAACTTTCTTCTTCTGTTTCTGGTAGCTCTAGGCATTCCATGGCTTGTGGTAGGATAACTCCAACCTCCGCTTCTGCTTTCACATAGCCTTTTCCTCTTCTCGCTTCATTTCTCCTCTCTGTGTCTCTTAAAAGGAATCTTGACATTGTATTTAGGGCTTATCCAGATAATACAGTATGATTTACCTTAAGATCTTTAATTTTATTTGCAAAGATCCTTTTTCAAAAAAATATCACATTCACAGTTTCTAAGAATTAGGACATGGACATATCTTTTTGGGTGCCACCACTGAAATCACCATGTTCTCATTACCAGCACCTTCCTTTTATTTTGTCTTTTAAAAGCCCCATCCACATTCATTTGGTGAATGCAAATGAGCAGAATAAGCTCCAGCATACAAAGATAAGCTTCAATAATATGTCACCTCTCACATCTAGCCAACTACCTTAACAGATTGTCAGTCTTGTTCATAGTCACTCAATGCATAGGCCTCAATTATTGTACAATCTGTGGCCCAAGTGATTCAGAAATATTGTCTGCCTCTCATTTCCACAAAAAAGTGGTAACTTTAGCCCATGAGCTATGAACAAAATGAAAGTTGCCATTTAGGCTAGCCATTAGAAAACACTGCATTATATCTTTTCACCAGATTACCCAGGTGGAATTTTCAAGGAAAACTTGGAAATTAGTTTAAGTCCAACTCTCATTTTCAGAAAAAAAAAAAAATCCAGTCATTTATTTCAGAATTGCCCATCACTCATGCAGAAATCAGAGAGGATTAGCTAAGCATTATTTTCTTCTCCTAAAATGCCCTTGAAAAAAATAATTATATCCTTTTTTTTTTTTTTTGCACAGTAACCTAGTTCCTGATTTCTTTCCTTTTGACAACCACTTCTCCCTTTCTTCACTTCTCCCTGGTTTAAACCATACTCTCCCATGGCAAGATTTGTTTTTGTAATACATAAAGTAATAGGGCAACCCCATTTGCTGCAAACCCTCAGCTTAACCACTGTTGGGTCCTCTACCTTGCACAGAAATGTGTTAGAAGATTTAAAGTTATACCAATAGCGTCTTTTGCTGAAACATCCCCTTCAGCCAGGACCTAAGAATTCAACCCAAACTCTGGTAGCACAGGATTTGGTAACACAAAAGAAACATTTTAAGAAATAAGAAAGTCAAAGAGTTGTGTTATAGCATTAATCCCACCCTCTGTTTCCCACCCTAAGAAACTTTCCAAGGAGACCCCCTCCCACTTTTTTCATTTTCACATATTTATCAGATTGTGCAAGCCAACACATTTCTCTTTCTCCATATTTTTGGCATTAAATATCTTAACTTCACATTTAAAGTTTCTATAAACCCACCACTCTGAGGTGATAAGCAATGTGATACTTACAAGCAATGTTGCCTCTTCTTAGACCATCCCTGAGTATTAGTCACTTGTGAAATGGGTGTCTTAATCCAAGTAAGTAAAAATGAATGCTCCAGAGTGAAATGCCACGTTTTTCCAATCTAATCCTTTAATAATATTTTATCTCCATCAATTTTCTATTTTTCTATTTCTCAATCTACTTATTTAAAATTTGAATTTTCCTTGTTGTAGCAGTAGAAACATCACATTGAAATAACATTGAAGACGGACTTATTTATTCTGGAAATATCTTTAATGTGCCTTTTCAGTTCTGTAGATATAAAACAATGTCAAAGATATTCTGAAAGAGAAAGCATATCAAGACATTCCTTGCCTTTGAAAAACCATGGGAAGGCCAGGCACAGTGACTCATACCTGGAATCCCAGCACTTTGGGAAGTCAAGGCAGGAGAATTGTTTCATCTCAGGAGTTCAAGAACAGCTTGGGCAACATAGGGAGATCTCAGCTCTACTTTAAAAAAAAAAAAGAAAGAAAGAAAAAGAAAAGGCATAGGATTACTTATGGTAGTGAAAAAAATGAGACAAATCCCTTTTCCTCTACATCTCTGTGTATATGCACCTTTATCTGGGATTACTTTCAAATGATATGGTTGAGGCCTGTTCCCTTTGAGGTTCAATGCTTTAGAACATTTCTAAGGGAAGATAGCGAAACAGGACAAAAGCTCTCTCCACTTCCCCAAAGAAACTTATTATAAGAAAGAAATAAATCTGTCTGGTCCTCTGGATGCAGTTCTAGGTTATGGTCTTCTATAGATGACAGCTTCTTACAAGGACTCTAGATCCCTTTGGAACTTATTACAACTAACTTATGCTGTATAACTATTAGGGTAAATGACTGTGTATTCATTGTGTATAGGGCAAAGGAGCCGAGTCTACCTTGTTGTGTGACATGACTGGGTTTCATTTTGTATGTATGTGTTTGTGTGCCATGAAGCTAAAGGATTGTACAACCCATGTTTTTGTGTTATAATCAATAAATGAGCAAAAGGAGAGAAGACTTGCCTGCAGACAGGAAGTGCTGAAAACTTGTTCAAGAGAAATTTGAATAGATTGAATGAAGACAAATTATGCAGAACCAAGGGAAGAGAAGAGAAAGTTTCAGATTGATGAGGCAGCAACTGAAGGCAGCAAAGTTTGTTAAAGTGTATAATACACCATTAAGGTGTGTTTAGGAAAGATTGTCTTTGGTGCGACACAAAGATTCTTGAGAAAAGAAGATAAATTACTTAATTTCTGTGCACCTTAACGTTCTTATCTGTAAAATATGGTGAGTAATAATAGCCACCACATTCATAAGGTTTTGGTGAGAAATAAGTGAATTAATATATTTAGATCACATAGTAAAGTGTTCAATAATGTTATCAGTACCACCCACAACCATCTGCACCATCCTAACCAAAACCATAATTTTTTGGCTTTCCAAAAAAGTACGTGGTAAAATAAAAGATGCCTAAAACAAAGAAATAGATGTTTATTTCTAACATCTATTTTTATGCTTTTTAACATGTTTTTGCTCCTTAAAATTTTTTTTTAACATGTTTATGCTCCTTAAAATTTTTCATAGGTGATGCTGCCAATTTTTATATCGTGGCTGGAGCAGGAGGTGTTAGACAGGACAGCATGGTGATGTGAGCTGCAATTTGTTTGAAACAGATGAATTTTCACATAGACCTATGTTCACATGTATGCATGGAAATACAGTCTGAAATTAAATTATATTTAATTACCTATCGTAAGGCATGTTATTCATACCTCTTTTCTCTGACAATGTCCTAGAGATTTATTTTTTTTCCTTTAAAATGTAAAGGTGTCTGAAAATACATCTAAGTCACTATTAATAGATCATTTTAATTCTTATTTCCTCCTATGATTTTGCATTCACATAACATATCACTTAACTGAGATACAAAAAAGTTGGGAATTAATCTTAAAATAAAAAATGAATGAACCTGGAGTTTTCATTGTGCTAAATCTAAATAATATTCAGATACTCAGATGGACATCTTGTGTGTGTGTGTGTGTTTGTATCTGTGTGTCTGTGTGTGTGTATACAATGCTCTTCTTTCCTTAAATTATAACACTAATGTTACTTTTCCATAAAATACTTCATATGTAAAGAAATACTTAAAATTATTCTATGTTATTTGTTTTTGTAGCAGAAGTTATGGAGATTTTCCTTTTTTTCTACATATTCATTTACTTACAGTAATAAAATGTCTCTCCCTCAATTTTATCCAAATTATTTATTTAAAAATTAATATATTTTGCTTTTGTAATTGGTTAGTGTAAATTAACAGAAATTCAAAAACATTAGTATATTTCCATATTCTTCATTATTATTAACCGCACAGCATAAATATAATGGAATAATGCATTTTTAGGAGCACAGAAATTAGCCCTACCAGCCAATACCATTCTTCAGTCAAGCTCAACAGACCTTATTACCTAGATTTGTCTCTGTACCTTGAGGCATATTATAAGCCACATGAGCAGATGATTGAATAGGAAAAAAAAATCTCCATTAAGAAAAAAATTGAGATTTTTGATTCGACTGCCTGTCCATTAGTGACATAAAGTGCTGACAAGCAGAACAAACAGTGAGCAATGTAATGTCAAGGCCTCCAGTGAAATGAAGTTTCATAACTTCACTAGAGTTGATGGATGGGTAATAATGACATTTTCAAGTGTAAGAATATACTCTATTAGGAACATCATATAATTTTTCTGCACAAAGTAGTTGTTACAGCTTGGTTGCTCAGGGAAGATGACTCTATAGAGCAAGAAAACAGTCATGCGCTTATAAATATTTAATCAGGTTAATATTCTGGTGTTCTTTACCATGCCAAAGAACGTCACTTATTTAAAGCATAATAGTTTAGAATAGAATTGTCTTAGACAGTGAAAAGATGATAGAGAATTCTACAATATCAAATACTCAAATATTTGACATTAACAACATTGTAAATCTGACATGAACAATTTAGCAATTTACAGGGAAACTTTGCAAAAATGCATTACTGAGGGTGTTATCTGAATAGTAAATAATGCTTTATGGCTTTGTAAAATGCAATCTACCTTACTCTTTATAGATTATATCAAATATATAAATACCATCTTTCAACCAGTCAGTTGAGAAGGAACTGTATATTGCTAATGTATGTCTTATCCAAAACAGAAGAACAAAGAAACAAACAGGTTATAGTAACACGAAGAAAAAATTGCATGATTTTACCAGCTATATGTTCGTGTTTACACCATTTAGGCTTCAAGGATAAATCAGGGAATCTTGTTCTTTTAGAAAGCAAGGAAGTCTTGCTGCATCGAAACTCACCTCAGGGTACACAGAATCACAATTTTTAAAAACTATTCCTAAAAAGCATAGAATATCTATGTTTGAATGTTACATGGCTATTCAGAACTTTCTGGAATTATAATTTTCAGTAAGCAGATAGATATTTCAATAATATCTGCATTAAAAAACCATTCAATTGGGAATTTTCATTACAGTTTTAATGACACTGTTCAGGGCAAGAATTTTATGAATAAGATCTGAAAACGAAAGCAAAAATAGACAAATGGGATGACATCAAACTAAAAAGCAGTGTGCAGAAAAAAAAAGAATCAACAGAGAGAAGAGACAACCTACAGAAAAGGAGCAAATATTCTCAAACTATGCATTTGACAAGAGGTTATATTAATGCAATAATATCCAGAATATATAAGCAACTTAACTCAATAGCAAAATAATAACACAAATAATAATCTAATTAAAATGGATTATCTAGGTGCATAAGATCTGAATAGATAGTTCTCAAAAGAAGATACACAAATGGCCAACAGGTACATGGAAAAATATTTGACATCACTAATCATCAGAGAAATGCAAAACAAAACCACAATTAAATATCACCTCACTCCAGATAAAGTGGCTACTACTAAAAAGACAAAAAATAACAAATACTGATGAGGATATGAAGAAAGGAAAACTCTTATACACTGTTGACTGGAATGTAAATTAATACAGCCATTATGGACAACAATATGGAGATTTGTCAATAAATTAAAAATAGAACTACCTTATGATCCAACAATTCCATTACTGGATACATATCCAAAATAAATGAAATCAGTAAGTCGAAGAGATATCTGCACTCCCACGTTTACTGCAGTACTATTCACAATAGCCAAGATGTGGAATCAACCTTTGTGTCCATCAATGGATAAATAGATTAAAAATGTACCATAAAAAAGAACAAAATATTTCCATTTGCAACAAGATGAATGAACCTAGAGCAGTGGTCTCCAACATTTTTGGCACCAAGTACCAGTTTTGTGAAAGACAATTTTTCCATGAGGTCGGGGAGCGGGGCGGACAGTTTCATGATGAAGCTGTTCTACCTCAGATTATCAGGCATTAGTTACATTCTCATAAGGAGTACACAACCTAGATCCCTCACATGTGCAGTTCACAATAGTGTTCCTGCTCCTATGAGAACCTAATGCCTCTGCTGATCTGACATGAGGCGGAGCTCAGGAGGTAATGTTCCCTTGCCCTCTGTTCATCTCCTGCTGTGTGGCCCCTAACAGACCACAACCAGTAGCAGTCTGCGTCCCAGCAGTTGGGGTACCCCTGACCTAGAGGACATTACGTTAAATGAAATAAGCTAAACACAGAAGGACAAAAAACAACATGTCTCCCTCATATGTAAAAAAGTTGATCTCATAGAAGTAAAGAGTAGAATAGTTGTTACCAGAGGCTAGGAAGAGTAGGGAGAAGAGAAGGATGTGGAGAGATTGGTACAAAGTTACAGTCAGATAGAACAGAAAACTCTGGTATTCTCTTGCACTGTAGGGTGACTATAGTCAATTATAATGTTCAGTATACTTTTAAAAAGCTAGAAGGGAGGATTTTGAATGTTTTCACCACAAAGAAATGACAAATGTTTAAGATGATAAATATGCTAATTATCCTGATTGGATCATTATGCAATGTATATATGTATCAAAACGTCACAGTGTACCTCATAAATATGTACAACTGTATGTCAATTAAAAACAAAATAAAACTTTTTAAAAAGTTAAGTGAAACTCTCAGAAAACATTAGGTAACATGCTATGTATTTTAGAAGCTATATAACTCAGTTAAGTCTTACTGCCGCAAAATAGCATTTTTATAATTTATAAACTTTTATCTTCTAAAAAATGTTTTATTTAACCTTAAAATTGAAAGAATATTTTTGTGGATGTTTTTCTAGAGTTGAGGTTGCTCAATCACTCCTTTAGTCTTAAGCTAAGGAAAAATAAAGGTCATTCAAAGATTTTAAATTACTTTTTCCTTCCTTCTTTCTTTCTTTCCTATTTCCCTATTCGCTTTCTTTATTTTTTCTTTCATCTTTGATTACTGCTTTCTATCATAGGTACAACATTCATTAAATAATGCCCTCATTACATTTGAAATGAGGGAGAAAAAGCTATCAATGATACCTTTGAGTTTTACATGCATTATTCTATTCTGTATTTACAAATGGTAGCTTCATATTAAGGTTTGGGATCTTCTGTAATTTAAATGTTCATTATATACTGATCCAATAATTTTGTATAACCCTTGTATCTATTTTTCTCTATTACAGAGCATGCCAACAATGAAGGATTTCTCAGCGTGAACAATATTCTCAGGAGGAATTCAGGGCTGGAATTGCCAGGAGTGTTGCAGGCAAAGCTTTCATTGAGAGGGAAATGAAGCCAAAGCTCCATTGCCTAAGTAAATTAATTGATTTAGGATATGAGAAAGAAAAGAAAGGGAAAATTCTGTTAATACCGACTATTTAACTCCATCTGGAAGAGATGGTTTGAGGCAGCAAGTGTTTGAGAGTTTCCATCATAGGTGTTCTTCTCGTTCTTATCTCTACCCAGAGTGATTAGTGTTAACTGCTCTGGGGTATGCAACTGGTTTCTCCCTGCTCAGGCCATCACGTATGTTTACAATTTTTGTTGCTGAAACATCAAACTCTGTTCCTTAGCAGGCCCCCTGGACTAACTTCTTAGTGATATCTGTAGCACTTCTGTAGAAATAGCAAATTGAATCTAGAGTTAATTTTTGAAATGATATGAAAATAAAAAGTTCACCTTGGAGAAATCTATCTTCTAAAAATCTACTGGTATTGACTACATGTCTGTTGATGTCTCTTTCACTATCAGCTGTTTTCCTATGTCAACTATAAAATACCTTTAAACGCTTTAAGAGCTATTCAGCAGTTGAAATTGCAGGACATTACATGACACTTGTGAAAAATCTCTATTTTGTGAAAAGTTAGGTGTAAAATATAATCTTCCAGAACTGTTTGATAGATATCTCTGTACATATATGCGCATAAGACTTTGAAATTCCTCATTCAAATATTCAGTTCATTATGAGAAAAAAAAGTTAATCATTTTTCTACATGAGAGCATGATGAGATGTATGTAGATACAATTCTGTATTTATCAAAACAAAATATCATATCGGTCTAAACTCTAAGTTGCATTTAAAGAGAGTAAATTCAAACCTTCTCAAAGGGAAAACGGAAAATAACAGCTCACATGATTCAAAAGTCCAGGGGTATGTATCTGGCTCAGCTCACTAAAGGTGCTCATTGGATATCTCTCTCTCATGCTTTCTTTTTGAAATGTCTTCCAGGACTTACAGAGTTTTCTTTGTTCGGTGTTTTATAGTAAGTTATAATTGTTTACTATACAGATGCTAAAGTTTTCATGTTTTCTTATATAAAAACATTCCTATGGCTTAAAAGTAAAAAAAATATGAAAAGTACTCAGAGAACTCTCACTTGCACCACTGTATTCTTCTACGAGTTCCAATCTATCGTCCCCTTTCATCACCATGTTGACTGGTATTATCCACTTCCTTCAGATTTTCAGATTAATTTGCATAAAATGGCATAAAGTAGACTTTTGGAATTTTTTTAGTTTCTGTATTTCAAATGTTATTATCTCCTTTTCTCATTGCTTGCTTTCGTTCCTCTTTTTTGACTAGTGTAAATAGTAAGTGTCTCACTGATTTTTTTCAAAGAGCCAGCCTTTGTATTTATGCATTTTTTCTGTTTCTATATTTTCAAATTCTTGACTCAGATTTTTAATTCTTATGTATGCCTACTTCGTTCACTTTGTCCTTTTTCTTTTTTTATTATACTTTAAGTTCTACGGTACATGTGCACAACATGCAGGTTTGTTATATATGGTACATGTGCCATGTTGGTGTGCTGCACCCATTAACTCCTCATTTACATTAGGTATATCTCCTAATGCTATCCCTCCCCACTCCCAATAAATGGTGCTGGGAAAACTGGCTAGCCATACGTAGAAAGCTGAAACTGGATCCCCTCCTTACATGTTATACAAAAATTAATTCAAGAAGGATTAAAGACTTAAGTGTTAGACCTAAAACCATAAAAACCCTAGAAGAAAACCTAGGCAATACCATTCAGGACATAAGCATGGAGAAGGACTTCATGTCTAAAACACCAAAAGCAATGGCAACAAAAGCCAAAAGAGACAAATGGGATCTAATTAAACTAAAGAGCTTCTGCACAGCAAAAGAAACTACCATCAGAATGAATAGGCAACCTACAGAATGGGAGAAAATTTTTACAACCTACCCATCTGACAAAGGGCAAATATCCAGAATCTACAAAGAACTCAAACAAATTTACAAGAAAAAATCAAACAACCCCATCAAAATGTGGGCAAAGGATATGAACGGACACTTCTCAAAAGAAGACATTTATGCAGCCAACAGACACATGAAAAAATGCTCATCATCACTGGCCATCAGAGAAATGCAAATCAAAACCACAATGAGATACCATCTCACACCAGTTAGAATGGCAATCATTAAAAAGTCAGGAAACAACAGGTGCTGGAGAGGATGTGGAGAAATAGGAACACTTTTACACTGTTGGTGGGACTGTAAACTACTTCAAGCATTGTGGAAGACAGTGTGATGATTCCTCAAGGATCTAGAACTAGAAATACCATTTGACCCAGCCATCCCATTACTGGGTATATACCCAAAGGATTATAAATCATGCTGCTATAGACACATGCACATGTTATGTTTATTGCAGCACTGTTCACAATAGCAAAGACTTGGAACCAACCCAAATGTCCATCAATGACAGACTGGATTAAGAAAATGTGGCACATACACACATGGAGTACTATGCAGCCATAAAAAGGATGAGTTCATGTCCTTTGTAGGGACATGGAGGACGCTTTGTCCTTTTTCTAACTTTTTGAATTGTATGTTTAATATGTCTATTTTGGGTCTTTTTCATCTTTATTAATATAATTACATAAACTTACTGATTTTTCTATGATCATTGCTCTAGATACTGCATAGATTTTGATATATAAGAAGGGCATGATAATTATGTTCTAGAAATTTTGTAAGCTAAGTTTGTACTTCTCCTTTGAACCAAAAATGTTTAATGGAAAACTGTTTTTTAACTAACAGATGTAAGTATCTTTTTTATCTTGTTATTAATTTCTAGTTTTATTACATTACAATTAGACGGTTTTTGTATAATTTCCATATTACAGACCTTATTGAAGTTCTCTTTATTTCGTGGGAGGCACATAGGAAATTAAATAGAATATATTTTTACAATATTTCGTGAGAACTTGAATGCAGTGTACCTATTATCTTTCTGTTGCGGAGCAATGTATGCATGTGTCTTCATAAAAAATCTGCCTTACTATGTTACTTAGGTCTTTTGAGTGCTCAATTACTTTTATATACCCGTTGTATCTTCTAAGATTGACAGTTATTTCAAAGTCCTATCTTATTTGTTTCTGTTTTTCCTAGCATCTCCATTGGTTTCAATGTTATCAAGATGGCCACTGTGTGAATATATTTATAAATCTTAATTTTTCATTGTGAAATGTAGCCCTTTGTGCATTATAAAGAATTCTTCACCTTATGTAACGTTCTTTATGTTGAATTCATTCTGACAGATACCAAGATCACAAGCCCTGGTTACATTTTGTCTCATTTTCAGGTGACCTTGGCTCATTTCTTCATTTTCAGCCTTTGAAATCACTTTTTAAATACATAATTGTATAAAGCATACAACTGAATTTGGATTTGACCCAATTTGAAGGCTTTTCTTTAGTAGGTTTGTTAGGCCAATTATATGTATTATATAATGCATCTGCTTGTCCTCAAGTTTTGTTATCTTTTGTTTTATCATGTGATATTTATTGTGGCTCTTTCACTTTTTTTTTGTAGTTTGTTTTTGCTTAATGTTTGTTTTAATTTTGCTGTAAATGCATTTAGTTTTGTTTTAATTTCTTCTGGTAATTATGAACGTTACTATTTTTATTTTAGTAGCTATTTTTATTCTAGTGTCCTTATAGAATGCTTTTTTCTTTACCTCTCTTCTTTACTTAGACCTCTATATGTTTTCTCAACTTTAAAGTACGTACTTTAATTTCCATCATCTTTTATCCCAAAGACAATAAAATATCTAATGCTTTTTTCACTTTTGTCTCTTTCTTCTTTTCCGATGTTTTTAGTTGCAATATTTCTATTTTGTTAGCCTCTATAACAAATAACATATTCTCCCACGTGTATATCCACATGTGTTTTAGTCTTAGGTTCTCAATTCAACATTATTTAATACTTATCACCAACTCTTTTGCTGCAGTTCCCTTAACTGTATCTTGGTTGGAGGAGGGTCATTTCTTATTGTGCTACTAGCTCTGCATATTTTGACATTTTGTTTGGGATATTTGTTGGATGAAAATCATATTATCTATTTGCTTTTATTTTTCTACTTCCCAGTAGCCCCTACTCTACCACTGGGTCTCAAATTTGTTTCTAGTATTGCCATCTAGGATTGAATCTTCCCTTGGGGGTAAATCCAAATTAATATTATTTACATTATATTATTACTCAGATTCTGCTGCAGTCTTCTTCTGGTCAGTCCCTAAGAAGAAATGTTATTTTAAAGATTGTCTTTTTATTCTGTAAAATTCAGTCTTCCTTAACCTATAACACTCCTAACCTTAATATGAAAGTATCTGTTACAAAGACTTCCTTTTACCATAAAGTTTACAAAGATTTTAATTAACACAAGAAGAAAATAGAAAGCATTAAAACTGCGATCATTTAAATTCAAAGTTGTGTAAATATGGTTATTTTACAATATAAAATTTGATACTTTTAACAATAATTCATTTCCAAAGTACTCTCAGTGTTTCTGGCACCACCTGTTTACCTCAGGGAAGAAAAATCCACATTTTCTTTGTGTTTAAGTGGATACTACAATGATTTAAAGTGTGTCACAGGAGCCAGGCATGGTGGTAACAGCCTATAATCCTAGCTACTTGGGAGGCTGAGGTGGGAGAATTACTTAAACCAGGAGTTTGAGAACAGCCTGTGCAATATAGTGAGACCCTGTCTCTAAAAAAATAAAATAAAATAAAATAAAATGTGTGTCACAAAGACAACATTTTAATATCCCAATTTGTATTTACAAATGCTTTATGACCAAGTGTCTATTAAATAAATGTGAAGGGGAAAAAGCCAAAACTCAATAAAAATAACTCTGATGGTAGTTTCTTTTGCTGTGCAGAAGCTCTTTAGTTTAATTAGATCCCATTTGTCAATTTTGGCTTTTGCTGCCATTGCTTTTGGTGTTTTAGACATGAAATCCTTGCCCATGCTTATGTCCTGAATGGTAATGTCTAGGTTTTCCTCTAGGGTTTTTATGGTTTTAGGTCTAACGTTTAAGTCTTTAATCCATCTTGAATTAATTTTTGTATAAGGTGTAAGGAAGGGATCCAGTTTCAGCTTTCTACATATGGCTAGCCAGTTTTCCCAGCACCACTAATTAAATAGGGAATCCTTTCCCCATTGCTTGTTTTTCTCAGGTTTGTCAAAGATCAGATAGTTGTAGATATGCGGCGTTATTTCTGAGGGCTCTGTTCTGTTCCATTCATCTATATCTCTGTTTTGGTACCAGTACCATGCTGTTTTGGTTACTGTAGCCTTGTAGTATAGTTTGAAGTCAGGTAGCGTGATGCCTCCAGCTTTGTTCTTTTGGCTTAGGATTGACTTGGTGATGCAGGAAAAAGGCCACAAGAGGGGCTGCCATGGCCACTAACGGAGATGGCCCTGGTAGAGACCTTTGGGGGTCTGGGACCTCTGGAGTCCCCATGCTCTAACTCCCACACTCTGCTATCAGAAACTGAAACTTGAGGGTTTTCTCTGTTTTTCACTCGCAATAAATTCAGAGCAAACAAAAGATGTGGAATCTGAGAGATTTATTCCACTAGTGTGCTAGGACCATTAAAAAGACAAGGGCGCCCCCTTCCGGCAGAGGCTGACCACTCCAGCAGAAACTGCGGACAGGCTTTCATCCCCGGCAGAGCTACAGGCTTCCAGCAGCCTGGGGCCTCGTGGGTACTGAGCTGCGTGTGGGGGTCCAGGACCCGACGTCGCCTGCCATTCGGCCAGGGCATCGGCAGATGTATTGGTCCAGCCCCCGAGAGACCCAGGAAGAAGGCAAGGAGGTTCGGTACGAGCGATCTCGAATGGAAGAAGAAGGCAGTCCGTCTGCGGGAGCCAGGCCGCAGCGCCATCCACCTTCTGTCCATGTCTTCTTTAGTAATACATTTATCTTCCTCGCCATAACAATTCGCGGTGTGGACGACCCCCTCCCCCTCCACTTTTTTTCGGATTTACTTGTATGGAACCTGTGCAAAAAATATTTAATTTCGTTTTGTATTAAACCCTTCATTGGGAATCCCTTCCCAATTTTAGTCTCCCACCTATCCCCGGACGACTACATTGAAATCTCTCTTATTTGTGTTTAAATCACAACAAAATCTACAAACCTATATTCGCCTGCAGCTATTTACTTTTAAATAAGGGCTATGTTAAGCTACAGGAGGAAATGTTTTGCTTACCATTCGGACAAATGTGTGAACACAACTACAAAATGGGAGAAAATTTTTGCAACCTACTCATCTGACAAAGGGCTAATATCCAGAATCTACAATGAACTCAAACAAATTTACAGGAAAAAAAGAAACAACCCCATCAAAAAGTGGGCAAAGGACATGAACAGACACTTCTCAAAAGAAGACATTTATGCAGCCAAAAAACACATGAAAAAATGCTCACCATCACTGGCCATCAGAGAAATGTAAATCAAAACCACAATGAGATACCATCTCACACCAGTTAGAATGGCAATCATTAAAAAGTCAGCAATCAACAGGTGCTGGACAGGACGTGGAGAAATAGGAACACTTTTACACTGTTGGTGGGACTGTAAACTACTTCAAGCATTGTGGAAGTCAGTGTGGCAATTCCTCAGGCATCTAGAACTAGAAATACCATTTGACCCAGCCATCCAGTTACTGGGCATATACCCAAAGGACTATAAAACATGCTGCTATAAAGACACATGCACACATATGTTTATTGCAGCACTATTCACAATAGCAAAGACTTGGAACCAACCCAAATGTCCAAAAATGATAGACTGGATTAAGAAAATGTGGCACATATATACCATGGAATACTATGCAAACATAAAAAAGGATGAGTTCATGTCCTTTGTAGGGACATGGGTGAAGCTGGAAATCATCATTCTCAGTAAACTATCACAAGGACAAAAAACCAAACACCACATGTTCTCACTCACAGGTGGGAACTGAACAATGAGAACACATGAACACAGGAAGGGGAACATCACACTATGGGGACTGTTGTGGGGTGGGGGGAGGGAGGAGGGATAGCATTAGGAGATATACCTAATGCTAAATGACGAGTTAATGGGTGCAGCACACCAGCATGGCACATGTATACATATGTAACTAACCTGCACATTGTGCACATGTACCCTAAAATTAAAAGTATAATAATAAAAGAAAAAAAAAAGGAATGACCTCAAAAGAAAACTCAATATAAATATGAATCAGAATAATTTCAGTTCCTTAAGTTTTCAAGTTTTTGCTCAGTTTTCCTTGACACTCATTGAAAGGGTTACGCTTTGTGTCTCCATCTAAATCTTGAATTGTAATCCCCAGATGTTTAGGAAGAGACCTGGTCGGAGTGACTGGATAATGGCGGCAGTTTCTCCCATGCTGTTCTCGTGATAGTGAGTGAGTTCTTGAAAGACATAGAGTTTTCTGTTTGGCAAGTTCCTCCTTTGCTCACTTTTTCTTCCTTGCACCATGTGAGAAAGTCCAAGCTTGCTTCCCCTTCACCTTCCGCCATGATTGTAAGTTTCCTCAGGCTTTGGGTCAATTACTCTTCCCTTTAATAAATTACCCAGTCTTGGGTATTTCTTTATAGCAGTGTGAAAACAAACTGAAACATTCATTATTATTTTTGAGTACTTAAAAATAATGTTTACTAGGAAATCTCTAGATAGCAATAATGTTTTTGTAATCAGTGACGTGATGGAATGCTTTGTGATTCCTTTGAAATTTAGAAAAAACTAAAACCCATTTTTGTTCAAGTAGGCAGCTGAAACCACTTCTTGTGTCTTATAATTCATATTTCATTCTCTAACATGGATATTAAGAATATAGACATGTGTTAAGGAATGTGTTTTCTCTTTGGAAGTGTGAAGTGGGGAGAAAACAATCTGCAACCCAGTGGTAGACATCAATTTGCCTCAGATTTCTTTGGAATCAGAAAAGGTAAATTGAATAAAAGCATGCATTATGTAAGTAAGTACAAAGTTGTCTATGTATATACGCACATAATAGCAAATAATATGAGACCTAGAAGTATTGCTGGAAATAATGATTTTAGAATAAATTCTTTTACATTATTTTTGAAAAGTAGTTTTATAAGCTAAATTTTCCTTCAACATTTTTCTTCCTAAAATTGTAGTTATTATTTTAAAAATATAGTCTTTGTACTTTGGGAGGCCAAGGCAGGTGGATCACGAGGTCAAGAGATGGAGATCATACTGGCTAACACGGTGAAACCCCGTCTCTACTAAAAATACAAAAAAATTAGCTGGGCATGGTGACGCACGCCTGTATTACCAGCTACTCAGGAGGCTGAGGCAGGAGAATTGCTTGAACCCACGAGGCGGAGGTTGCAGTGAGCCAAGATCGCATCACTGCACTCCAGCCTCGGTGACAGAGCCAGACTCCGTCTCAAAAAAAAAAAAAAAAAGAAAAAAAGAAAAAAATTACATACATAGTCTTTGTAATAGCTAACAGATATTAAGATAAATTAATTATACCAATGAACACAACAAGATTACTTCAGCAGCACAGAAGAATGATGACTTACTAGAAAAATGTCTGTTTCATTTCATATGCAGGGATTATTTTCCAGGGTCAGAAAACCATGTAAGCAAAATGTTTACAAAGGTCTTTTCAATATCATTGTCTCTTCTGTACTCTCTCCCCTTCAAACCTAACAAATGAAACATGCAACATAAATATAGTTCTAGGAAATATACATATGTCTAATTTTTGTTTTAACTTTGTAAAAGTAATGGCCAGAAGATCAAATCCTGATAACCAAGTTAATGATGTATCGTAGTACAGGTAATGTCGTTCTAAGAACATGCTGCATGCAGAAGTGTGACTCATGAACCAAGCACTTGACTTTGATCTTTAATCAACCTCTGCCATGCTGCAAGGCCGTAGGTCCACTGCCAACTCCTCCATATCTCAGTTACATCACCTCGTTTTTGTAATAATAAATTCCTTGGATATTTCTATATATCGTGGTAAATTTCAAGTGGAATGGCTGTTCTGAAAGCAATTTAAAAATTTAAGGCACTCCACAGATACTCAATCATGTTTGTAGAGTCCTTTGTTTTCTTATGCAGTAGGAACTAATAGATAATATTATTCAACCCCAGGGTGTCTTTATAGATTTTGTTCCCTCAGTTCTTAGATACAAAGAAATACTTGAAATAATGTTCACCTCAAATTAATAATAGTTATCCCTGGATAGTGGAATTGTAGATTTCTTTTTGTTCTTTCCTTCGTATTTACTGTACAGTTAGTATTTTTCATGAAGCATAAATTACTTTCACATATAATTACTTTTTTCTGACATTAAACTTGAGCACAATTAAAATACAAAGAAAAAAATACATATTGTAGTATCTATGAGAAATTTTAATCACTATAAAATACTTCTCTATATCAAAAAGTTGAATGTCCCAATGGACAATTCACGTGAAGGATATATGAATGATCATAATAAATATAAAATGTTGCTTTTCTATAATCAAATAAATGCAAACATGTAAAATTAGGTTTGTCATTGTAAAACTGTTGAAATCCAAAGTCAAAATGAAGATCTCAGGTTGGGGGCAGTGCACATTAACTGCAAATTAGTAACAACAGTAGGAGTGACAGCTGGCTTTTCAACATAAACAATGAAAGCCATAAATTAACAAGCTGATTCTAAAACTCACGGAAATGCAAAGAAGCAACAATTATAAAGGCAATTTTGAACATGGAGAAAAAAAACTGGAAGATTTATGCTCCCAGGTATTAAGACCAATTTTAAAGATCCATTAGTTAAGACAATGTGATACTCGTGCAAGGAGAGCAAAATAGGCTATTAAATAAAATTTATGGGATGCCATTGTTTTGGACTAAGCTCCTACACTAGGCTCCAGCAAAACAGATCTAATCAAAATGGAGTCACTTATTCTAAGGTTCCATGTCACCAAATTAAAACAAAGTTGTTTATCTGACCTTCTGAGAAATGGAAAGTGAAATGATATCCAAACACAGGAACAAGACAGTTTTATCTAGAGTGACGAGGAAGTCCCTTCTGCTTTAACCTTTACAAAGAAAGTAACCAGAAGTAGCCTGATGTTAACTAACCTATTTGTTTGTTTGTTTGTTTACACATTTTTCTGGTTCCCGCTCAAGCTACCTTATAAAAGCTAGCTCTTCTGCCGGATCTTTAATGGGATGATGCCTGATTCATGAATCACAATAAAAGCTAATTTAATCTTTAAACTCAATTTGTTATAATTTTATTTTTAAAAAAGTCTAATGAAAGAGATAAAACAGAAACAGATCCATGTTTACAATAACTTAAGTTTCTTATTTTATATTTAAAATGTGAGGCTGTAATGCAGTGGATAAAGGATGGAATACTCTATAAATTGCACTCGATCAATTTTATTCATTATAATATGTTGACTAAGACTCTCTCCTTTGACTAAAAAAAAGGACTCAGACTCCTTCAGCTTCTCTACTTGACTAGGACCATACTCAGTCTTGCCTCTCCAACCTTTTATAATTCATTTCGAGGAAGAATCCAGCTAAATCAGTTTAGTGAAAATCCACCCTTAGTATCTGACCACTCTATATATTATCACCTTGGCCTGCCTTAAGCAAGAATTCTGTTGAGTCAGTCTAGCAAGAATTACCCTTAAACCCGATGTTTCTTGTTAGTAAAATTTCCGTCACTTACCCCACCCTATTCCTTTGCTATACATCCCCACTTGTTCCTGCTGGAGTCAGAGTTGAGTCCAAACTCTCCCCTTCACCGACAGACCTAATTGCCTCACTGCTATGACCCTTACAGTTATCACCATACCACCCCAAACCCTTCAATAGAGTCCTACTTACTGCCTTTACCGAGTGTAATGAATAACTTTCCTATAACAATACTTTTATACTTCGAAAAACCTTTCTAGCCTACCCCACACAATACATAAAAATAAATCGCATATGGATTACATCTAATGTGAACAGTATAACAATAAAAAAAATAAAAATACCTTCACTAAAAGTAAGTAAAGATTTCTTAAGAAGGACATAATAGTACTAACAACAAAGAATAAAATAAGAATAGTTGTCTAAAGTTAAGGACTTTTTTCTATTTCTTAAATGACATCAGTAAGAAAATAAAGAGCAAGCAATAAACTAGAGCAGAGTATTTTCAATATATTTATCTAACATAGGATTCATGTCCAGGACATACACAACTTTCATATAAATCAATTTTTAAATGGCAGGCAATTCAGTACAGAAATGAGGAAAAAGACTTGGATAGATGCTTCATACAACAGAATATCCAAATAACCAATATACATATTAAAAAGAAGTTGAACTTTATTAGCTATAAGGACATCCACATTAAAACCATAATGAGATACCACTACATACTGACTGGGTTTGGGACATACTACCCCCATATCTGACATAGTAGAATCTGAGAAACCAGCAGAAGCAGGAAAGTCATTCTCACCTTCCATTGCCCTTCTTCCCTGCAACAGGTTAAAAAGCCTTCATTCCAGAGATACTCTCCCTATACCTGGAAAAAAAAAATCTTAAGCCTCAAAGGCACAAATGTATCAAAAACAATCTGAAGAAACAGCACTTTCTAAGTGTGCCCCAACCCCTGGTTTATCACTATTATTAGATCATATCCCCTTTGTGCAATCACACTTCCCCTCAATTATCCACTTTATCCAACTCAGCACAGAAGTACATAGACTTTGTCGTTTCTTAGAGTCTTCATTTCTGAAGGTTCCCCTGTCATGTAAAACTTATGTTAAGGAAATTTATACGCTTTTCTCTTGTTTATCTATCTTTCATTATAGGTACCTCAGCCAAGAACCTTGTGATGACTGAAGAAATATTTTCTTCCCACTATGATATCCACCAGAATGTCTACAATGAAAGCAACAGACAATACTAAGTGTTGGCAAGGATGTGGAACAAGTGAAATACTCATACACTATATGTAGAGCTTGGATAAACTGTTAGGCATTGTCTAGCTTACAGGAACATACATGTGCTCTATCACCCATCAATTTTACTGTGACATGTATACTAGCAGAATTATATACACATATTTACCAAGTGGCAAATATGGGAATATTCATAGTATCAAATTCGTAATAGCAAAATTTAGAAACAACATAAATATTCATTAATAGTAAAGTAGATAGATAAATTGTATTATTGGTATGCAGCACAATTCTTTTCTTACTTTTTTTTATTATTATACTTTAAGTTCTAGGGTACGTGTGCTCAATGTGCAGGTTTGTTACATATGTATACATGTGCCATGATGGTGTGCTGCACCCATTAACTCCTCATTTACATTAGATATATCTCCTAATGCTATCCCCCTCCCCCCACCCCACAACAGGCCCTGGTGTGTGATGTTCCCCATCCTGTGTCCATGTGTTCTCATTGTTCAATTCCCACCTATGAGTGAGAACGTGTGGTGTTTGGTTTTCTGTCCTTGCGATAGTTTGCTGAGAATGATGGTTTCCAGCTTCACCCATGTCCCTAAAAAGGGCATGAACTCATCCTTTTTAATGTTTGCATAGTATTCCATGGTGTATATGTGCCACATTTTCTTAATCCAGTCTATCATTGACGGACATTTGGGTTGGTTCCAGGTCTTTGCTATTATGAATAGTGCCACAATAAACATACGTGTGCATGTGTCTTTACAGCAGCATGATTTATAATCCTTGGGGTATATACCCAGTAATGGGATGGTTGGGTCAAATGGTATTTCTAGTTCTAGATCCTTGAGGAATCGCCACACTGTCTTCCACAATGGTTGAACTAGTTTACAGTCCCACCAACAGAGTAAAAGTGCTCCTGTTTCCCACATCCTCTCCACCACCTGTTGTTTCCTGACTTTTTAATGATCGCCATTCTAAATGGTATGAGATGGTATCTCATTGTGGTTTTGATTTGCATTTCTCTGATGGGCAGTAATGATGAGCATTTTTTCATGTGTCTGTTGGCTGCATAAATGTCTTCTTTTCAGAAGTGTCTGTTTATATCCTTCGCCCACTTTTTGATGGGGTTGTTTGATTTTTTCTTGTAAATTTGTTTAAGTTCTTTGTAGATTCTGGATATTAGCCCTTTGTCAGATGGGTAGATTGTAAAAATTTTCTCCCATTCTGTAGGTTGCCTCTTCACTCTGATGGTAGTTTCTTTTGCTGTGCAGCAGCTCTTTAGTTTAATTAGATCCCATTTGTCAATTTTGGCTTTTGTTGCCATTGCTTTTAGTGTTTTAGACATGAAGTCCTTGCCCATGCTTATGTCCTGAATGGTATTTCCTAGGTTTTCTTCTAGGGATTTTATGGATTTAGGTCTAACATTTAAGTCTTTAATCCATCTTGAATTAGTTTTGGTATAAGGTGTAAAGAAGGGATCCAGTTACAGCTTTCTACATATGGCTAGTCGGTTTTCCCAGCACCATTTGTTAAATAGGGAATCCTTTCCCCATTTCTTGCTTTTGTCAGGTTTGTCAAAGATCAGATGGTTGTAGATGTGTGGTATTATTTCTGAGGGCTCTGTTCTGTTCCGTTTGTCTATACCTCTGTTTTGGTACCAGTAACATGCTGTTTTGGTTACTGTAGCCTTGTAGTATAGTTGAAGTCAGGTAGCATGATGCCTCCCATTTTGTTCTTTTGGCTTAGGATTGACTTGGCAATGCGGGCTCTTTTTTGGTTCCATATGAACTTTAAAGTAGTTTTTTCCAATTCTGTGAAGAAAGTCATTGGTAGCTTGATGGGGATGGCATTGAATCTATAAATTACCTTGGGCAGTATGGCCATTTTCATAATATTGATTCTTCCTATCCATGAGCATGGAATGTTCTTCCATTTGTCTGTGTCTTTTATTTCATTGAGCAGTGGTTTGTAGTTCTCCTTGAAGAGGTCCTTCACATCCCTTGTAAGTTGGATTCCTAGGTATTCTATTCTCTTTGAAGCAATTGCAAAAGGGAGTTCACTCATGATTTGGCTCTCTGTTTGTCTGTTATTGGTGTATAGGAATGCTTGTGATTTTTGCACATTGATTTTGTATCCTCAGACTTTGCTAAAGTTGCTTATCAGCTTAAGGAGAATTTGGGCTGAGGTAGTGGGGTTTTCTAAATATACAATCATATCATCTGTAAACAGGGACAATTTGACTTCCTCTTTTCTTAATTGAATACCATTTATTTCTTTCTCCTGCCTGATTGCCCTGGCCAGAACTTCCATTATGTTGAATAGGAGTGGTGAGAGAGGGCATCCCTATCTTTTGCCAGTTTTCAAAGGGAATGCTTCCAGTTTTTGCCCATTCAGTATGATATTTGCTGTGGGTTTATCATAAATAGCGCTTATTATTTTGAGATATGTCCCATCAATACCAAATTTATTGAGAGTTTTTAGCATGAAGGGCTGTTGAATTTTGTTGAAGGACTTTTCTGCATCTATTGAAATAATCATGTGGTTTTTGTCTTTGGCTCTGTATATATGCTGGATTATATTTATAGATTTGGGTATGCTGAACCAGTCTTGCATCCCAGGGATGAAACCCACTTATCATGATGGATAAGCTTTTTGATGTGCTGCTGGATTTGGTTTGCCAGTATTTTATTGAGGATTTTTGCATCAATGTTCATCAGGGATATTGGTCTAAAATTCTCTTTTTTAGTTGTGTCTCTGCCAGGCTTTGGTATCAGGATGATGCTGGCCTCAGAAAACGAGTTAGGGAGGATTCTCTCTTTTTCTATTGATTGGAATATTTTCAGGAGGAATGGTACCAGCTCCTCTTTGTACCTCTGGTAGAATTTGGCTGTGAATCCGTCCGGTCCTGGACTTTTTTTAGTTGGTATGCTATTAATTATTACCTCAATTTCAAAGCCTGTTATTGGTCTATTCAGGGATTCAACTTCTTCCTGGTTTCATCTTGGGAGCATGTATGTGTCGAGGAATTTATCCATTTCTTCTAGATTTTCTAGTTTATTTGCATAGAGGTGTTTATAATATTCTCTGATGGTAGGTTGTATCTCTGTGGGATCAGTGGTGATATCCCCTTTATCTTTTTTTATTGTGTCTATTTGATTCTTCTATCTTTTCTTCTTTATTAGTCTTGCTAGCGGTCTATCAATTTTGTTGATCTTTTCAAAAAACCAGCTCCTGGATTCATTGATTTTTTGAAGGGTTTTTTGTGTCTCTATCTCCTGCAGTTCTGCTCTGATCTTAGTTATTTCCTGCCGTCTGCTAGCTTTTGAATGTGTTTGCTCTTGCTTCTCTAGTTCTTTTAATTGTGATGTTAGGGTGTCAATTTTAGATCTTTCCTACTTTCTCTTGCGGGCATTTAGTGCTATAAACTTGCCTCTACACACTGCTTTAAATGTGTCCCAGAGATTCTGGTATGTTGTGTCTTTGTTCTCATCGGTTTCAAAGAACATTTTTATTTCTGCCTTCATTTTGTTATGTACCCAAGTAATCATTCAGGAGCAGATTGTTCAGTTTCCATGTAGTTGGGCAGTTTTGAGTGAGTTTCCTAATCCTGAGTTCTAGTTTGATTGCATTGTGATCTGAGAGACAGTTGGCTATAATTTCTGTTCTTTTACAGTTGCTGAGAAGTGCTTTACTTCCAATTATGTGGACAATTTTGGAATAATGCGATGTGGTGCTGAGAAGAATGTATATTCTGTTGATTTTCTGTGAAGAGTTCTGTAAATGTCCATTAGGTCCACTTGGTGCAGAGCTGAGTTAAATTCCTGGATATCCTTGTTAACTTTCTGTCTCATTGATCTGTCAAATGTTGACAGTGGGGTGTTAAAGTCTCCCATTATTAGTGTGTGGGAGTCTAAGTCTCTTTGTAGGTCTCTAAGGACTTGCTTTATGAATGTGGGTGCTCCTGTATTGGGTGCATATATATTTAGGATAGTTAGCTCTTCTTGTTGAATTGATCCCTTTACTATTATGTAATGGCCTTCTTTGTATTTTCTGATCTTTGTTGGTTTAAAGTCTGTTTTATCAGAGACTAGGATTGCAACTCTTGCTTTTTTTTGTTTCCCATTTGCTTGGTAGATCTTCCTCCATCTCTTTATTTTGAGCCTATGTGTGTCTGTGCAGGTGAGATGGGTCTCCTGAATACAGCACACTGATGGGTCTTGACTCTTTATCCAATTTGCCAGTCTGTGCCTTTTAATTGGAGCATTTATCCCATTTACATTTAAGGTTAATATTGTTATGTGTGAATTTGATCCTGTCATTATGAAGTTAGCTGGTTATTTTGCTTGTTAGTTGATGCAGTTTCTTCCTAGCATTGATGGTCTTTACAATTTGGCATGTTTTGGCAGAGGCTGGTACTGGTTGTTCATTTCCATGTTTAGTTGCTTCCTTCAGGAGCTCTTGTAAGGCAGGCCTGGTGGTGACAAAATCTCTCAGCATTTGATTGTCTGTAAAGGATTTTATTTCTCTTTCACTTAGAAAGCTTAGGTTGGCTGGATATGAAATTCTGGGTTGAAAATTCTTTTCTTTAAGAATGTTGAATATTGGCCCCCACTCTCTTCTGGCTTGTAGAGTTTCTGCTGAGAGATTTGCTGTTAGTCTAATGGGCTTCCCTTTGTGGTTAACCTGACCTTTCTCTCTGGCCGCCCTTAACATTTTTTCCTTCATTTGAACTTTGGTGAATCTGACAATTATGTGTCTTAGAGTTGCTCTTCTTAAGGAGTATCTTTGTGGCATTCTCTGTATTTCCTGAATTTGAATGTTGGCCTGCCTTGCTAGGTTGGGGAAGTTCTCCTGGATAATATCCTGCAGAGTGTTTTCCAACTTGGTTCCATTCTCCCCGTCACTTTCAAGTACACCAATCAGATGTAGATTTGGTCTTTTCACATAGTCCCATATTTCTTGGAGTCTTTGTTCATTTCTTTTTACTCTTTTTTCTCTAAACTTCTCGCTTTGTTTCATTCATTTGATCTTCAATCACTGATACCTTTTCTTCCAGTTGATTGAATCGGCTTCTGAAGCTTGTGCATGTGTCACGTAGTTCCCGTGCCACGGTTTTCAGCTCCATCATGTCATTTAAGGTCTTCTCTATGCTGTCTATTCTAGCTAGTCATTAGTCTAACTTTTTTTCAAGGTTTTTAGCTTCTTTGCCAAGGGTTCGAACATCCTCCTTTAGCTCAGAGAAGTTTGTTATTACTGATCTTCTGAAGCCTTCTTCTCTCAACTTGTCAAAGTCATTCTCCATCTAGTTTTGTTCCACTGCTGGCGAGGAGCTGCATTCCTGCGGTGCAATTCTTTAGAGTACCCAGAATGAACACACTATTATTACATGTACGAAGGTGAATGAGTTTCATATGCATAATGTTGAATAAAAGAAGACAGACACAAAAGAGAACACAATATTTTATTCAATTTTATATGACTTCAGATTAAAAAATAATTAAAACCAACAGAATTTGGAGTCAGAATACCCATTAATCTTGGGAGAAGTGACTGAGTGGTGGCACAAGGACGCATCTTGGAAGCCAGTAATGGTCTATTTCTTGGCCTGGATGGTGTTTACATGGGTATATACCCATGTAAAATGAATATTCACTTTGTAAAACTCATGGAGCTATTAGCAAGTCATCTGGCATATTTCAATTTAAAAAAAAGGAAAAACATTCATGGAGTACAGTTTTCCATTTATCAGATTGATACTCTTTTTCATGACTATATGTGTAGTTATAAATGAAACAGGAAATTCTGTAAGTCAATGGAATGGAAATTGATATCTATTTTCTGGAAATTATTGGATGATATCCACAAAAGCTTAAGAAATAGATATTATTTTATCAACTTAATTTCCAAGACTTTTTCCTATAGAAAGAATCAAAGATATGAACTTAGCACTATGTGAAAGAATATTTTCTACAATATAATTCCTATATTTAGGCATGAGAAACAACCTAATTATTTAGGGATTAAATAAATATATCATGGCATAGTTTTTGATAAAGTGTTCAGAAGCCATTTAAATTCATTCATTCAGACAGCATTTTGTGAACTCCAATCCTACAATTAAAATATTAAATGGTGAGCTAGTTACAAAGCAGCATATAAAGTGACTCAAATTACACTTTGTATAAAAATATATTTATTATGGCAGTATTTTCTCTGAGTGAGAAATTTATTGGTGATTTTTATATTATTTTTTCTATTTTCTTAGAGTTTCCAGCTCTAAAATAAATATATGTTACCTTTATATGAATATACATCAGGCATTTTTCACCAGAAGGAATCTAATATCATTTTTAAAAATCAAACATTCATAAAAGTATACCACTTACATACATTATTTTTAGCATTACTTCTTTTATATTAACGTAGGCCTTCATACGTTCATTCCATACTGATGTGCCATACCTCACTAAGCTTTTTAAAAATATTATATCCAATACAAATTATTTCTAATCTATTTTGGAATTTTGTACATATTGCAGAGAATATATTCCAGATATAGTTTTTGCTGCTGTTAAATTAGTTCCTTACTAAAAATTCCCAGAATTAGAAATCCTAGCTCAAGAAGTATAAATGGAATAATCAGCAAAATTTAATTACTGAACAATATTTACTTAATACTTAAAAAGTGTTCAAGTATTTCCCAGGTGTTCAGAAAGTATGAAAATCTGAGTGTTGTAATAGTTCAGAGGAAAACAGTGAGGGATGAGATCAAATCTGTCCATGAGTAAGTCAAAAGTAGTTGGTGGAGGAGAATCCCATGGTGTTCAAAAGAAAGCGAAAAACAAACATTTAGTGTATGCCATCTAATTAAACCCCTCAGCACAGCCACTTTGCTCATTGCTAAATCAAGCCCTAAATAAACTATTATTCTACCTTTTTGTGTATTGTTCTACCTCTACACGTGTATTAGATATTTGTCTTTAACTGTTACCAGATTTCATTCAATTCAACGTCCCAAATCTTGTGTAAGGAAAGCTGTTATCTTTACATTTGGGAGATACGTGCCTACCTTTTGTAGTTCCAAACTGCACTGCCTTTATTGTCATCAGGTATCAAGTTTGTATCAAACGTGCGATCTGCCAATTTCACTGCCTCACCTATATCTCTCAGCTTTAGCCCCCAGTTGAGCTCTTTCCTTTAGATTTGTCTTTCCCAGGTGTATTACCTTGTTTTCCAGGATGTGTCTAATTTGGTTATGTTCTTTTATATCTCACACTAGCTGATCACTCAATAAGTATAATATAATTGTTTGAAATTTGCTGCTATACTTTGTTTTGGAATAGTTCCCTGAACTCTAAATACTTGAACGTGAAAATAATTAAGGTGAAGTATTGAATAACTTGATTTCTTGTACAAAATATTCAATATGGTCTATAGATTTAGGGCCACTAAAAAGGCTTCCTCTGGGTGACAGTGAAGACTATTTTGTTGCTATGCACATTCAGTAAATCGTACTGCTTATGCATTTATTTTCATTGACAAAAGCATATCATATATTTATTCTATTCATGTTATCTATAATTCTCTTAGGTTAGAATTATGTTAGAATTGTTGCTGGGCATGGTGGCTCACGCCTGCAATCCCAGTACTTTGGGAGGCCGAGGCAGGTGGATCATCTGAGGTCAGGAGTTCAAGACCAGCCTGGCCAGCATGGTGAAACCCCATATCTAGTAAAAATACAAAAATTAGGCAGGCATGGTGGCATGCACCTGTAATCCCAGCTACTTGGGAGGCTGAGGAAGGAGAATTGCTTGAACCCAGGAGGCAGAGGTTGCAGTGAGCCAAGAGCATGCCATTGCACTCCAGCCTGGGCAACAGGAGTGAAATTCTGTCAAAAAAAAAAAAAAAACAAGGATTTTGTTAGAAATGTCTCGCAAACTGAGTTTTCACAAACATGGTTATAAGGAATTGGAGAAAGAACAATGATATTGAAACTTTTTTATGTTACTGAAAAAGCAATCAGTGTTTTCAGGGTCCAGTCATGGAGCTCTGACAAGGAGACAATTTCAACTCAATCAATTTGATGGACTTATGATGTTGGGCCAATTTATTTATATTGCACAGGGATGAGCCAGTTGATTTTCAACAATGAAGAAGTTGATAACATCATTAAATTCTAAAACAATTGCATCACATTCCATATCAATCTATGATAAGTACAGATTAAGTCTGATGTTTCTTTGTTAATTTTCTGTCTGGAAGATCTGTCTAATGCAGAAAGTGGTGTTTGAAGTCTCCAGGTATTACTGTATTGAAGTCTATCAATAATAAGTACAAATGACATATTTCTTATAAAATTATATCCAGTATTAAGAAAGTATCTATTCCTTAGAGATATATCTTGATTTGAGCCCCATAAAACATCTCAATGGTGAAGATAAAATGGAACACTGCAATAATGATAATGAACATTGATGAGGACCCCCTCACTCCTTTTCTTCCAGAACCCTTCATGCCCTCTGTTTCCAGGATACACATACCCACTGCCACCTTACGTTTCCCCTACTCAAAGAAACGTATGACAAGAGAAAAGAAAAAGAAATTCTTGACTACATAGAGACCCAGTAGCTCAAGCTACTGATCTATATCTGCATAAGATATATAAAAGATCATTTGTAACTTCAAGTTACAAAGAAGACTGGAAAACTGAGCAACTCCTAGGTTTGCTTTTAGTTTTTCCTTCTTACAAACAGATTAGAGGTAAAATAAAATCGTTAAATCAAAATGTGTCTGTAGTCTTTATTTCATGACTATAGATTTTGTTACATGATAGCTATATTTCCATATAAAAAGGTGGACTTACAACCACTTAGAGTGTGGTTCTACAGTAAGGAATACTAGGAAAAAATATTTCAACACTCACTTTCAATGGAATGAACTTTGAAGTTTTGCTATAATTTGAAGTAAAAAATCAAATCATTATTAGAATCAATGTAAATTGTTTTTCTATTTAGAGTATATGATACTACAATAAATAGCTGGAGTAATTTAATTGTGAAGTTCTTTTGCGAAGGGAGATAATATATTCCCAGTTATTGACTCACTTTTCATACATGCATGAGAATAATTAGAATTTAAAATGGATAAAATTAATTTATATGAAATCATGTGATCTAAACAAAAAGTCATGTTTTACAGAATGAAATACACCACATTTTCTGCAGCTGCACATACTTGATTATCATTTTGGGGCATGGCTTTAAAATAATTAATAACTTTGAAGATAAAGTTGCTGCTAATTTATCATATTTTTGTTTTCTGAATTTTATGTGCTCAGTGATATCAATACACTTTTACTGGAATTGTGCTCACACGTACCTCCAGTGATTTCCCACTGACCCTGCTTGTGCACTTTTTGCACCTCTCCAGCATTGCATGGGCCATGGCATTATTGGTTGGTATACTAAGTGGGTGGCAGAGACAGCAGTGTCTAATACTTCTACCATCACCTGAGATCAGAGTTGACTCCCTTTAGCTGCCTGTGTTCAAGGACAATTCATTTTATCAGTAAACACCTTACAATGCTATCCTTCAAGGGACAAGTTAGATAAATTGTATCTGGAAAGTACTGAAGAAAGAGAGACAGGTTAATGCTGGTTGTGTTTCACATTTAATCATGTGTTAAAGTAAGCACTCTGCTCTCAGCACATGCATTGCACATACTAATAGAAGAGACCATGGCAGAAACTGAAAATGTAAAATACCACAGCAATTTTGACATACTTCTATAAAACTAATAATTTTTAAAATAAAATAATCTAGACAAATGCTACTAAGGAAGATAAATTCAGACAACAAAAAATAATAAGACTGTTGGGGAAGTGCAACATATGTTCACTCTATCCAATACTCACGAAGCTTCCAGCTACTTAAGTTACTTATCTTCCTCTAAAACATGCTATTAAGACATCCAATTGTATTTTGCCTCCCATCCTGATTTCCTAGTTACTCATTATCACTGGTCCCTAAACTCTCTCTCTTATATTTTATTTGGGTGTATGTCCCTGAAAGTGATTTAATATTCCATGCCGTGTCATTCTCCCAAACTATTACCCTGTGCTCTTTGAAATATGCAGTCAATCCTCAAACTCTTCTCTGTTATTTCACATTTTTTTGCCATGATGTAAACCTGGATGTAGCCCAGTAAGACTACTTCCCTCATGGCCTCTTGTAGTAATGACTATTTTACCCTATACCTCTCATGTAGAGAATCCCATGATCTGCAATTGGAGTTAGGTTCCCCTTCGCATGAAGGCTCTTTGAAACCATTTTTTAGTAGCTTCTCTTAAAATCTCCAAATTTTCAAAGACTGTGACAGCAAACTATACCACTTGCTTTTCTTTCTTGTTGTAACCATGCATGTACCTCATTCACCAATGCCTTGGTATTGAATGCCTGTCAAGGATCATTTGGCCCAGGCATCCCAAACCCCTTTGACTAAAAACGAAATGATAAAAATAATAGGATAAAAAATTTGAACTTTAATTTATTTAAACTTTAACTCTTATGAATAAGAGTATATGGTTTCAGACTTTAATTTCTTCAACTTTAATGTTTTAAAATTTTAACTCTGAAGAAAATTTAATTCTTGAACTTTATTTTTTTTCCTCGAATTCATTTGAAAATATTACATGTGAATTTGAAGCAATGTGCATCGTTGGCATTTTATTATTGGAGCTTTTATACATTTGGGGTATCAATGTTGTCATTTCATTTTGGTGTCTCCAATGGGCTTTATTTGATAACACAGCTGGATACAATTTGTATTGTATAATAACATAATAGCGAATGGATTTTCAGCTTTGGGTAATTTAATTAATACCATATTTTGGCCTACATCATAGACTCCTAGGGCCAAAATCTATGTTTCTTCAATATTGTTGAACAAGAAGTAGTTGTTGATACTAGGGAGGCACCTCACAAAGGTTGGAGAGGAGTCTCTTCAAACTTTGTTGATTTTCCCCTTTCCAAGGGGAGGAGGCACACCTGTCATTGTCCTCAGACTTAATGATAAAGCCCAAGTTGATAGCAGCATACAAAGCTAGAATATTCTTAAACACTATTCCTCTCTCCTAATGATTCCTTCCATGTACAGTGCTATCCGTTGTCACAATCCTAACACTTTCACTTACTTTGTTAACATTTAGTGAATGCTATGAGCCAGGACTCTTCTAAGTGCTTTTTAAAAATTAACCCATATAAGGTACATAGGATGTCAGCAATCTAGTGTGTCAACAGCATAGAATGTTATTACCTCCATACTATAATTAGAACAAGACACGGGACGTTAAATTACTTACCAAGACCACTAGTGATAGTTGTGTTGCCAAATCAAATCTCCAACTCTTTATCTCCAATACATTCAGCATCTTATGAGCTTTCAACAATGACCAAATAACTACTTTCCCCCCTCAGTTTCTCTAATCCCACCAACTTCTGGTTGCCTTATTTTCTCAGCAGCCAGTCCCTCTCAGTTTCCTTTGGTGGTTTTACTTTACAGTTTTATCTGTTAATATTGCAACTCACTGGAGCCCTGTCATGCCCCCTATTTTTGTTCCTATCTACCTTCCTTTTCTGAATAATCCAAATGTAGATGGCATAAATATTTATATTACCGGCTCTCATCTCCCCCTTGAAAGCCAAAGTGCATATCCAAATACTTTATTGCAATTTTAATGTAGGTTTTTAAATATATTAATACATTCAAATTACATCTATAAATTTTCTACCACACACTTCCATCCTGCATCCTGTTCATGTCAAAACAATTTAGAAGTCACCTATGATTCCTCCCTTTCCATCATATAAATGCATGTAACAGCATATAAAATATATACCAATCTAATAATACTAATATTATTGTAATAAATGTATTACCTTTAGGTTGTGTACATTGGTCGGGAGAGAAAAGTGTGTTGTGTATGTAAGAGAAAATGATAAAATGAGACTTTTACTTTTGTAATCAGTATGCCCCCTGATTAACAGAAAATTATTAAATAAAATGTATTCATATATCACTTTATAATTTAAAAGTATTTTAACAATCTCTAAATTGTTGATCAAATCAACAAGAAAGAAATAAGACTTTCAGCAGTTTTTAATTAATTCAATAAATACGTGCAATATACATACTTTCTGCCAGTCAATTCTCTGGTAGCCACAAATACAATACTGAACACAAAGTTCCTTTCCTCAAGAAACTCACATTCTGGTAGTAATTACTAAAATAAAATAAAATGTTTACATATATATGCACAAAGTAATTTCAACTGATGATAAAAACTGTAATGAAAAATTAAACAAGTGAAGGTGATGTCGGGTGTGTCTGTGTCTGTGTGTGTGTGTGTGTATGTAATTTAAGTGTTGTGGTCAGGGTAAGCATAAAAGGGAAAGATAAAATAAATAGAAGTTTTACCACAGAGATAAAAGAGGTAATTTGGGGAACAAAACCCATAAAAAAAGAATGAGATATTATATTTAAAAAAGAAATGGAGAACACAAAAGTGCTCGTTTGTTTGTTTTGTTTGTTTTTGAGACAGTCTCGCTCTGTTGCCCAGGCTGGAGTGCAGTGGTGTAATCTTAGCTCACTGCAACCTCTGCCTCCTGGGTTCAAGTGATTTTCCTGCCTCAGCCTCCTGAGTAGCTGGGACTACAGGCACGTGCCACCATGCCCAACTAATTTTTGGGATTTTTAATAGAGATGGGGTTTCACCATGTTAGCCAGGATGGTCTTGATCTCCTGACCTCGGGATCCGCCTGCTTCGGCCTCCCAAAGTGCTGGGATTACAGGCGTGAGCCACCGCGCCTGATCAAAGGTGCTCTTAAACATTAGAAATAATAGCTGAATAACAAGGTTAGAAGATAAGGTGAAGCAGCCTCACTTTGTGGCTCACTGTGGCTTTCAGGAAGAGTAGAACTCTTGTACTTGACATTCAAAGATAAATATTGCAGGTCCATTTTTTAGCCTTTCTTCTGACAGTTTACTACTCCAAGAAAGCTATTTTTTAACCTAAAACATGGCTTGTGCTTTTTTGCCTCCATAATTTTCCTCACGCTTTCCTTTTTTAAATTATTACTATCAAAACTGCATTCCCCACATAATACTCTGAATGTAAATGCCAACCATCTTTAAAAGTCCAAAGTTCCTCTCCATCTGAAGCTTTCATAGAATGTTTTCTTTGTGAGCTGCTTTAGAACTCATTTCAGTACAACTAATATATCATTTTTACATATTACACTGCTTTATAATTATTTGTGTATACATCGTAAGACTCCTATCTGATGTCATGTTTGGGGATGAAATAAATCATCATCAAAACACCCAGCGTAACACCAGTCATACTGAATGTCCTATAAATAAGTATTAAATGAATTAATGCAGTTTTCCTTAGACAAATCAAATAGGGCTTCCTTTCATTTTAAATGTTATCAAAACGTATATGATGAGACCATTGACATTTTGCAGTACAGATTTACCTTTAAAATATATTTTGTTGAAAAAATAGCAATAATATTGAAATGTACTTACATTTATAAATCTCAATCAATATGCATGATAACATAAAAGCACTGCTGTCCAAAGATGTTCCCTCAGAGAAATAAAAAACTAAACAAGCATCAGTCAACTATTTACAATAAAAAATTTAAACATTCAGCAATTACATAATTATGTATACCTTTCATTGCTCTGCAAGGTAACACAATTGCAGTCCCTTCAGTATTAAGTCAGATAAAGATTCTAAAGCACAATGCGGCATACTCTCTGGAATAATCATATGAGCTTAAACCTTTTGCCTTGAATTCTAACCCTGCAAAGAATGCTATTATGGCCCATAAAATTATATGGAACTACAATAGCCTTCATATATAAAGATAAGGTTCTTCATCTGTTGTCAGTAAAATATATGGTGGGTGTCATTTACATATACATTTTCTACTTGTGAATAATGATATTCACTAATGAAATCATTGTTTGCCTTCAGATGAAATGTTAGTCAAACAAATGTTTCTGGTAGAGACATCTGAGCACTAAGAAGTACTTACTGATGTTTAAATATATTTTCTCTTTACCAAGATGAAATAAAACTAAAACATTTAAAGATGAATATTCCCTAAAATGACTTGCCTGGCGCTTGATGACTGCTCTCCTCTCTATGGTGCTGTCTTTTCTCAATCACAATTCCTCCTAAGCCTTCATGAAAACTGCTGGTTGATACATTCTTATGACATGGAATTCCCATGCTACCAGAACATACTTATTGTTTCCTGATGAAAAAAGTCTCCTACAGGACGACCATTCCAGGAATATTTAAAAGGACTATTGAGAAGTAAATTTTTATGAAATAAATCATATTAAGGTTAAAAGCATTTTAGAACATTATAAGACATACTAGAAGACTATATGTGTGATATGTGAACCCCAAAATAGCACATAATTGAGAAGAAAACTTTACATAAATAGTAGAGAAAGGAAATGGCATTGGCTCCTAATTAAATCTAAAATGTGATATTTTCAAATTCTTAGACATTGCTGTAATGTTGCTGGCAATGTAGGGCTACAATGAACATTTTCTGACAAACGAGTTTATTGAAGATAGAGACGAGATTTTTTTCTATCGACCAAGCTGACCTTGTTTTTATGTCTCCCAGGCCACTCATACACTGATAATACATAAATAGTTTCAAAAGTGAAAACATCTTATGTTCTACTACATTTCAGAAAGCAACCAAAACATGGCTTAAAAATTTAGATCAGAATATAGTTCTAATGGAAGCATGCTGGTACAAGACATCTACTGCTTTCACATTAATATCAATTTTTCATATATAAGCTATGTACAGTCATAAACTCAGAACCCAAACCTTCAGAAAACTTCATCAAATATATGTAGCATGTATACATCATAGTTATTTAAAAGAATATTTCTCCTTTTCTTGTCCATATCTACTTTATTCGGGAATCAATTCTTAACTGAGTTCATAGGTTAGACTTGCATAATTTTAGACATGCTTAGATTCTGAAGATTTGATCAGGTTACAAAAGAGCAAGAAATAGCATGAGGTTAATTTGAGTGTTTTTTTTTCTTTTTTTGCCTAGAAAACTGTAAACACTGTATTGCACTGAGATTTTATAGGCATCTTTTTGTTTCATAGTGATATAACACAATGTGACTCAAGTAGTAGTTTACATGTTATAGAGAAGTGGATCAATTTTCTTGTGACATGGGCACATCAGTTGAGATAGGATGCCTAAGAAAACAGACCTTCTCCCTCTCTCCCATAGTACCTGTGGCATTCCAAAAGGGCACCAGGCCAGATAAAAGAAACAGGAGATGTTGTCACTTTAGGCAGAGTACACTATCATTCTCCAACATGTCCACTACCAACAAGAAAAGCTGCTATGTTCATCCTTTGTAAACTCAGTCAATCCTATCACTTTTAACTATTTGGAAAACTGAGCTACAGATTAGTCTGAATTTCTTCAAAGTTTCATATTATTTGACTAAGAGAACAATGAGATTTATATGTTTTCTCCTGATCAATGACAGTGTAAAAATACCATCATATATTGAATAATGTATATGAAAAATTGTTACCCAAGTAAATTTTCAAGAGCTAAAGATTATATAAAAATATACTTATAAAAGCCCTGACTTCCAGTTTATCTAACAATAACTTGTCTATCCACCTATCTTCTGTCCATCTTTTCATCTATCAGTTAGAGATTATAAAAAACTAGCATTATGGAGATCTATGTAACATTCAGAATTCCATTACTGACTCAGCCTGTGATCCAAAAAAAAAAAAAAAAAAAAAAAAAAACCATGTTCTAGAAGCAGTGAATTAAAAGTAATCATTAGAATTATGCTCAGATAGATTTTCTTTTTCCGCTGCAAGCTTTCTATCTATTTCTCCAATCCTTATTAATATTAATATAATAACCCTACCTGACCTAGAGCCCCAGGCATTCTAACCGAATCTGCATCTTCTGGGCACAGTGCTACAAATTTTAGGTATGTGAAATTAGCAGCAGTTGCAGTGAAAGGGAGATCTGCCATAATTCACTCATTCTCTGAGCTCCCCTCACTGAAGCAAGAAAAAGGGGTCAGGAGTGTGGGATAATCTTAGGTCCTGAGAGCCAAGGTGAGAAAATGTGGATATAAAAGGAAAGGAAAGAACCAAGGTAGTTCACAGCAGGTTAAGCTAAGACACCACGAGATCAAATCTAAGTTAAGCAAGTGGTCACATATAATAAGTACTGCACATTAACTTTTAATTTTTATTATGTCACTTGAAAATGAATATGGCTACCCACAAGGAATAAAAATATTCAGCGAGGAAATCATTGTTCATCAATCTGTCTATAACCTAGCGAGGGGGGAATTTCTATGAATCTTTGCTGATTTGTTTGTTGAGCTATTGTTCTGACTTACTGTACCTATATCTCTGGTTTTACCAAATATTGGCTCTCACATTTTTCCTCATCCCTCTAGGGTTCTCAATACAAAGAAAAAATATGTGCAAAGCACTAATATGTATCATATATTTCTTCTGTGAAACATTTCAAGAACAGCTACCCTTCTGCTGGTTAGCACAGCTGTCATAAACCTTACGGGAGAAACTTTCCCTTACTTTGTGAAAATGACCATCATGCTGGCTATAATAATAAATAAGGCTGTATGAAAAGTAAACATATTAAAGTCTAACTTACTCCCAAGAGGCTCAATAACTATTTTAAAATGAAGAAAATCACAGGAAAGGTACAAGTTTTCACATAAATATATAAAAGTTAAAAAGAAAAAAACATTTGTCATAAATGACTGAATATATGCCTTGGGCTATAAAGCAAACCTAAATACTGAACAAAATATTAAGATGTATACAAATATTCACATTTGGGTGATTGTTGAAAGGTGGATATTTTAGAAATAAATTCCTATTCCCAGTCCCCTAGATTTATAGGGATAAAAACGCCTAACGTGCTAAGAAATTTAAAGTGAAAGAAAGAATCTTTGTCCTCATAGCCAACATACTTTCCCCATCATGTCACATTGCGCTATTCTGGCTTTATCTGCCAACCATTCAGTAGTCTATCACAGACAAGATTGCTGCTCACTGCGTTCCATTCAGTCGAGCATTTGAACTGCTTATTATCTTGGCTACCAATGTGTAGGGTGCCTGTTTTTGTCTTGAACCAGATATACCCTATCCTGCACACTTGATTGCTGAAAACTTCCAGAGACCTCTATTTGCAACAGACTCACATTTGCATGTGTAATTCCTTACTGGTTTGTCAAACAAGGAACAGGATAAATATACTGATTGATAAAAATTATTCTAAAACAGAAAGCAAAGACTCCTGAGTGAGGAAAGTTTATTAAGTGAAAATTGCAACTGACATTCAATGATTTTAATAAAATGACTCTCTTCATTCCAAGTCTTCACATTTTGTGGTATTCTCTAATCTTCCAAAAATTTTTTTAATGACATTTCATGAAACCCATAAGAAAATTCTTCAGTTTTATGAACCTGGCATGGAGGTAGACTTTAGTGGAATTTCAACTATATTTCTTACATTTGGGGACTATTATATATTTTATTTGTATGCTTATTCTGTTACTTTCCCTTTGATGTACTAGGGAAGGCTAAAACATGTAAAGAAGGACCACCGTATTACTTACTATATAGTTCTTCAATTCTTAGCCCTGGCTACACATTTGAATCACTTGCAAGGTATGCCCCACCTTGAGAAATTCCATTTTAACTTGACTGAGATATTTTCAATACCTAGGATTGACTTGATATAGTTAAATCCTAAACCAATAAATATGAGACTTCATTGCAATCCAGAGTAACTAAATACCTCCAAAACTAAAATAAATTATTCCTACAGTGCTAATCTCTCACTGAGTATTAAATGTCTGTTGCCTCTATATTTATTAATATTCCACAAATGAGGATTTTCTATTTGGCTGTTGCAGTAGGAAGAAACATGGTCCCATCAAAGATGGCCATGTCCTAATCCTTGTAACCTGTGAATATGTTAGCTTACATAATAAAGGGTTAAGGTTGCAGATAGAATTAAAGTTGCTAATCAGCTCTTTTTAACTAGAAAGATTATCCAGGATTACCTGGGTGGATGAATATAATTGTGAGTCCCAAGAAGTGGAAAATTCAGGCAGAAGAAGAGGATCAGACACAGATGTTAAGACAGAAGCAGAATCAGAGAACCTCAATGTGACTGGCTTTGAAGATGGAGAAAGGGGACTGTATGTCAAAAATGTGGATGGCCTCTAAAAGGTAAGGAAACAGATTTAGTCCTATGGCCTCCAGAAAGGAAAACACCTCTGCTGGCACCTTGATTTCAACTCAGTAGTAACTGTGTAGATTTTTAACTTACTGAACTATGAAATAACACATTTATGTTGTTTGAAGCCACTAAATTTGAAGTAATTATTTATAGAAACCTTACAAAATTAATACAACTATTTTATCATAGACATTTAAATTTTGCTTGCTGACATTAAAATCACAGTGTAATATAATTATGGTAAAGAATTTAGAGCAACTACTCATGAATCAGAATTAATATAGTTGCCAGTTCATAATCTAGTCAGTAAATTCAATTTCATGTTTAAAAAAATAGAAATCTTCACGTATGTGAGTTATTTAATCAGTATAAATTTTTGGATATAAATGAATCAAATATTAATTGCTAATTTAATATTTTTTTAAAAAATAGAGATATAAAAAATAGATGCAGATGGCATGTATATCATAACCTGGAATGCAAGATGATACAGATTACAGCACTAGGCTTGCTGTTTAAGTGAAAAAGAGATATATACTTATACAATTGTTCTGCTAAAACTAAGAAGACCTATTATTTTCTACCTATATTGGAAGCATGTAAGTGCTCAACAGGGAGCAAAATGATTTATGATAGTGGAGGTAGCACAATGTTCTGGTAAAGAAATTAAGATAAAATTAGGCTGAATATCAGAAACTGCCTTGACAAAATGCAGTAATCTTCCAAATAAATTGGGGGATCTGTACCACCTAAGAACTTTATATAATAATCATTTTTAAAATTAAATACTCTTTGAAGTATTGTCGAAGACTTGAAAAAGACATTGCTTAGGCTCATGAAACCACATACATTCTATTTACAGTATAGAGGTGCCTCTTCATATTCAGACCAGAATCTGGAAGTAATACACACACACACACACACACACACACACACACACACACAGACACACACAACACATATACATTTTAACAGTTTTTTTTATCCTAAACTATTACCATTGCACCTTCTAGAAACCACAAATTAGGGCATAGGCCATCCCGCTAAGCCCTATGCACATGTCTCTGTAAATATATTTTGTCCTGCTTATATAAACTGTACTGCAAATAAAGAAAATTTACCTTTACATTGACTTTGCAAATTAATGTTCTCCACCAAAGAATAATATCCATGTTCCTGTGGAACAATGAATGTCATATAAATCTAAATATAACCACACCTGCTCTCAAATTTATACAGATCAAAAGGGCAAAGAATAGTGCTTACTTCCAGCAGACATAATTGGGTAGAATGCTCTGAAGGGTCTTGTCTCAGTCACGTGGAATATTTAGCCAAAAAAAGACATGTGCCTTGATTTAAATATGTCTCCAAAAAGCGTGTGTTAAAAACTCAATGGAACAGCATTGGGAGGTGGGGCTTAATGGAAGTTGTTTGTGCCAGGAGGGCTCTATTTTCATGAATGAATTTATGCCAGTTTTAAAAGAGCTTGCTGCTGTAAGTTAAATCTCTTGCTCTCTTTTACCCTCTCACCTTCTGCTATCAGATGACACAGCAAGAAGTGCCTCATAAGGTGCCAGCACCCAGATATTGGACTTCCCAGCCTCCCAAGCTGTAAGAAATAAGTTTATTTTCATTATAAAGTACAAGTTTCTGGTATTCTCTTACAGCAGCACAAAATGGACTAGGACAACATGGCTCTAGTCCTGACTTAAAAATTAAAAACAAGACCCTAAAATGATCAATGTTTCCAAGTAACTTGAATAAATTCCAGAAAGAAGCTTAAGGATATCCATGGAAATGCAAAAATATTCAGCACCTAACAAAGTACGGTTCACAATGTATGGCATCTAATCAGAATCATTAGGCACTCAAAGGAACAGGAATATATGATCTATAATGAGTAGAAAGAACAAATCAATTGAAACAAAAATAGAACTGGAACATGTTAAAATACCAGATAAAAACAATCAATTATTATCACTCTATGTCAAATGATGAGTAGAGACATGAAATATTTTATGAAGGCCTAAATCAAACTTTCAGAAATGAAAACTACAATGTACAAGCTGAAAATTAAACTGGATGGGAATAACAACAGAGCTGACATTGCCAAAGAAAAAAAAATAGTGAACTTGAAGCATAGCTATAGAAATTACTCAAAATAAACACTGAGAGATAATTTTACTTCTGCAATGATGAAGTAGACATGTATTTCCCTATTTTTACCTCTAAATTAAGCCCAAAACCCTAGGTATTATATAGGAAATGAATATTTAAAAAATTTGACTGAGACTCTCTCCTATTGAGAGAGATCTCAATATCCCACTGAGAGATCTCACAAAGTGAAGTTCAAGAAAGAGGAAGTGGTCAACTGTGATGAAAGTTGTTGAAAGGTTGAGTAAGATGGAGTCAGAAGAGTAAACATTAGATTTGGCAATGTGGGAATTGTTGGTAACCTGGACAAGCACAGTTTCAGTGTCATGGCAGGGCAGTTGCCAAGTGGAGCAGGTGGAGAGAACAGGGTGGAGACAAGCCTTTCAAGAGGTTTTGTTCATGAGAGCAGAAAAATAGGACTGTGGCTGGAGGGGCATGTGGGATTAGGAATAGCTGGAAAGGGTGGATGGAAAACGCTAAGGTATGCTTTTATGTTAATGGCAATGATGCACTAGAGACGGAGAAACTGATGATGTAAAGCAACAAACATATAGTTAGGGAACACAAGAAGGCATGGGATTCAAAGAAAAAGGCAAGGCTTGACTTAAGATGGAGCAAGGCCACCACAACCATTGTAATACAATATAGGGTAGAAACTACAGGTGCAGAAAAGGACGCCCTCTGCATTTGATGGTAAGAATTAGAGGAAGTCCTGGCTAACACGGTGAACCCTGTCTCTACTAAAAATACAAAAAATCAGCCAGGCGCAGTGGCGGGCGCCTGTAGTCCCAGCTATTCGGGAGGCTGAGGCAGGAGAATGGCATGAACCCCGGGGGCGGAGCTTTCAGTGAGCCGAGATAGCACCACTGCACTCCAGCCTGGGCTACAGAGCGAGACTCCGTCTCAAAAAACAAAAAAAAAAAGAATTAGAGGAAGTTCCCTTCCAATACCTTATTTTCTCACTGAAGCATGAAGCAAGGTCATCAGATGAGACTGAGGTGTTGTAGCTTTAAGGAGAGAGGACAAGTTATGAAACAGTCATTTTGGAGAGTGGAAGAATGAACTTACTATGGAAATGTCAGAGGACAGTCAGTTGTTCTTTGGAGAACTGTAGTCTGTTTAAGAGTAATAAGTTACAAACTTTTCTCTTGCCATGTATAACTGCTTTGGTTGCAGAAGAGGTGAAGAGTTGGGCTTTAACAAAAGTTACCAAGGGTATTAAAACAAACGTTATTAAAAAAAAAAAATTTGAAAACTAGAAAGAAAAAGGCAGCCTGGCTAAGGACCTCAGGACCAAAGGTAAATCCTGGCAGGAAAAGATCCTCCGCCCAACCACCATGGACAATGGAGTTGGCATAAAGAGCTGCTTACAGAAGTGGTAGGGGCAGCATGCCAGCCAAGGTAGAGCCTAGAGGGTTTGGTGTGGGAGTGTCTGTAGCAGAGCATGGCCAAGGACACACATCCCTCTAGGCTCCACTTGCCCCCATAGGAGACTTTAGCCTTAGGAGAGCTGTCGGATCTGAATTCTGCAGAGCAGTCTTGCCCATTAGATGGGGCCAGTCCAGCCTGAGCACCCTTTGGTTGGCTGGCCTTGAAGATCAGAATGAAAGATCAGCTCACGAAGATGAGAAAGAACCAGTGCAAGAACTGTGACAACTCAAAAAAACAGAGTGCCTTCTTTCCTCCAAACAATTGCACTACCTCTCCAGCAAGGGTTCTGAACTGGGCTGAGATGACTGAAATGACAGCAATAGAACTCACAATACAGATAGGAACAGAGATCACTGAGATGCAAGAGTGTGTTGAAACCCAATCCAAGGAAGCTATACACACACACACATACACACACACACACACACATATATATATACGTATATGATCCCTTAAAGAGACCAAATCTATGACTTATTGGTGTCCCTGAAAGAGATGAGGAGAATGGAACCAACTTGGAAAATATATTTCAGGATATCATCCACGAGAACTTCTCCAACCTAGCAAGAGAGGCCAACATTCAAATTCAGGAAACACAGAGAACTCCAGTAAGATACTTCACAAGAAGAACATCCCCCAGAACACATAATCATCAGATTCTCCAAGGCCATAGTGAAGAAAAAATGTTAAAGGGAGCTAGAGAGAAAAGTCAGGTCACCCTCAATGGGAAGCCCATCAGACTAACGGGTAACTCTCAGTAGAAACCCTAAGACAGAAGAGATTGGGTGCCAATACTCAACATCAAAAAAAAAAACAATAACTTTATATATAGCCAAGCTCAGGTTCACATGTGAAGGTTCACATGTCCCTTTCAGACAATCAAATGCTGAGGGAATTCATTACCAACAGACCTTCCTTACAAGACCTCCTGAATGAAGCACTAAATATGGAAAGAAAAGTCAGTTACCATCAGCCACTACAAAAATGCATGAAGTACACAGACTAGTGACACTATAAAGCAACCACACTAACAAGTCTGCATAATAACGAGCTAACATCATGATGACAGGACCAATCTACACATATCAGTACAAACCTTGAATGTAACTGGGCTAATTGCCCTAATTTGCGTGAGCTGGATAAAGAATTAAGACACAATGGTGTGCTGTCTTCAAAAACCCATCTCACATGCAATGACACCCATAGACTCAAAATAAAAGAATGAATAATCATCCACCAAGCAAATGGAAAACAGAAAATGGCAGCTGTTGCAATCCTAATTTCAGACAAAACAGACTTTAAACTGTCAAAGATTTAAAAAAAAAAATACAAAAAGGGCATTACACAGCGGGAAAGGGTTCAATTAAACAAGACCTAACTATCCTAAATATATATGTACCCAACACAGGAGCACCCAGGTTCAGATAGCAAGTTCTTAGAGACCTTCAAACAGACTTAGAGATCCATATAATAATAGTGGGAAACTTCAACACCCCACTGTCAATATTAGACAGGTCACTGAGGTGGAAAATTAACAACGGTATTCAGGACCTAAACTCAGCACTGGATCAAATGGATCTGATAAACATCTACAAAACTCTCCACCCAAAAAACAACAAAATATGCATTCTTCTGATTGCCACATGGCAATTACTTTAAAATTGACCTCACAACCAGACATAAAACAATCTTCAGCAAATGCAAAAAAAAAAAAAAAAAAAACCACACCCTGAAATTATAACAACCACTGTCTTGGACCACATCACAATAAATTTAGAAATCAAAGTTAAGAAAATCACTCAAATTCACATAATTACATGAAAATTAAATAACTTGCTCCTCAATGACTTTTGGGTAAATAATGAAATTAAGGCAGAAATCAAGAAGTTATTTGAAACTAAGGAGAGCAACATACAACATACCAGACTCACTGCTAAAGCACTGTTGAGAGAAATTCGTAGCACTAAATGCCAATATCATGAAGTTAGAAAGATCTCAAATTAGCATCAAGACATGAAAAACCACTTAGATCAATGAATCCAGGAGTTGGTTGTTTGAAAGAATTAATAAAATAGATGGACCACTAGCTAGACTAATAAAGAACAGAGAAGAGCCAAATAAACACAATTAGAAGTGACAAAGGGGATATTACCACAAACCCTGTAGAAATACAAGTAACCACAAGAGAATATTATGATCAACTCTATGCACACAAACTAGAAAACCTAAAAGAAATGGATACATTCCTGGACACATATGCCCTCCCACTACTGAACCAGGAAGAAATTGAATCCCTGAACAGACCAATAATGAGCTCCAAAATTAAATCAGTTATAAATAGCCTACCAACCAAAAAACATTCAGGACCAGAGAGATTCACAGCCAAATTCTATCAGATGTATAAAGAAAAGCTGGTACCATTCCTATTGAAACCATTTCAAAAAATTGAGGAGGAAGGACTCCTGCTGAACTTATTCTATGAGGCCAACATTATCCGGATACCAAAACCTGGCAGACACAGTAACAACAAAAAAAGAAAACTTTAGGCCAGTGTCCTTGCTGAACATTGATGCAAACATCCTCAACAAAATACTGGCAAACCAAATCCCACAGTGCATCAAAAAGGTTATCCATCACAATCAAGTAGGCTTTATCTATGGGATGCAAAGTTGGGTCAACATATGCAAATAAAAAAATGTGATTCATCACATAAGCAGAACTAAAGACAAAAGCCACATGACTATCTCAATAGATGCAGAAAAGGCTTTCAATAAAATTCAATACCCCTTCATGTTAAAATTTTTCAATAAACTAGAACAAGGTATTGAAGGAACATACCTCAAAATAATAATTGCCATCTATGATGAATAAATTGCCAACATATTGAATAGAAAAAAGCTGCAAGCATTTCCCTGGAAAACTGTCACAAGACAAACTTGCCTGCTCTCACCACTTCTATTTGACATAGTATTGGTAGTCCTGGCCAGAGCAATCGGACAAGAGAAAGAAATAAAGGGCATCTACATAGAAACAGATGAAGTCAAACTATCTCTGTTTGCAGATGATATAATTCTATATCTAGAAAGCCCCACAGTCTTGGTCCAAAAGATCCTTAAGTAGATAAACAACTTCAGCAAAGCCTGAGGATACAAAATTAACAAACAAAAATCACTAGCACTCCTATACACCAACAACAGTCAAGCTGAGATCCAAATCAGGAACCCAATCCCATTCATCATTTCCAGAAAAAGAATAAAATATCTAGGAATACAGCTAACCAGGGAGGTAAAAGACCTCTACAATGAGAACTACAAAACAGGAAGGGGAACATCACACACCGGGGATGCCGAAAGCAACTGCAACAAAACCAAAAATTAATACATGGCATCTGATTAAATTAAACAGCTTCTTCCACAGCAAAAGAAATTATCATCAGAGTGAACATACAACCTACCGAATGGGAAAAATGTTTGCAAACTATGCATCTGACAAAGGTCTAATATCCAGCGTCTATAAGAAACTTAAATTTACAAGAGAAAAACAACCCCATTAAAGAGTGAGCAAAGGAGAAGAATAGACACTTCTCAAAAGAAGACATACATGTGGCCAATAAGAATATGAAAAAATAGCTCAATATCACTGATCATTAGAGAAATGCAAATCAAAACCACAATGAGATACCATTTCGGGCTAGTCAGAATGGCTATAATTAAAAAGTCAAATAACAAATGTTGCAGAGGTTGTGGAGAAATAGGAATGGTTATACACTGTGGGAGTGTAAATTAGTTCAACTATTGTGGAAAGCACTGTGCCATTCCTCAGAGATCAAAACATAACTACCATTCAACCCAGCAATCCCATTACTGGATATATACCCAAAGGAATATAAATCGTTCTATCATAAAGACATATGCACTGTATGTTCATTGCAGCACTATTCACAATATCAAAGCCATGAAATAATCCTAAATGCCCATCAATAGGAGACTGGATAAAGAAAATGTGGTACATTTATACCATGCAATACTATGCAGCCATAAAAAAAGAATGAGATCATGTAATCTTTGCAGGAACATGGATGGAGCTGGAAGCCATTATCCTTAGCAAACTTATGCAGGCACAGAAAAGCAAACATGGCATATCCTCACTTATAAGTGGGAGGTTAATGATAAGAACACATGGACACATAGAGGGGAACAACACACTGGAGCCTATTGGAAGGTGGAGGTAGGAGGAGGGAAAGGATATGGAAAAATAACTAATGAGTACTGGGCTTAATACCTGGGTGATGAAATGATCTGTACAATAAACCCCAATGACATGAGTTTACCTGTATAATAAACCTACACATGTACCCCTAAACTTAAAAGTTAAAAAATAGCATCAATTTTACAATCTTTTCCAGAAAAGACAAAAGGAGGTAATACTTTTTATGATGTCAGTGTTGCCCTGCTACCAAAACCAGAAAGAGATAAAATAAAGAATACCGGTAATAGCAAATGCTGCTGAGGATGTGGAGAAACTGGATGTCTTACGCATTGTTTGTGGAGATGTGAAATGGTACAATGACTCTGGAAAGCAGTTTGGAAACTTCTTTGAAAAACAAAACATACACTTACCATGGGACCCAGCAATTGCACTCTTGGGCATTCATTGCAAAGAAATGACAATTAATGGTAGTTCATAGCAGCTTTGTTTGTAGTAGCCAAAAACTGGAATAAATTTAAATGACTCTCAAAGGGTGAATGGCTAAACAAAACACGGTACATTCATACCATAGCATACTACTACTCCACAATTAAAAGGGACAAACCATTAACATACAGAACTTAGATGGCTCTCAATGGCATCGTGCTGAGAACCAAAAAAAAAAAAAAAAAGGAGTCTCAAAGGATCATACAATGTCTAATTTAATTTACATTACATTCTTGGAATTACAAAATTATGGAGATAGAGAGACTGTGGTTGTAAGAGGTTAGCAATCATGGGTGGGAGGTGCTAAGAGTGTTAACTAAAATGAAATGGAACAAGAGAGATCTTTGTGATGATGGAATCACTCTGTATCTCAATTGTGATAATGTGACAGTAGTTATGCAGATCTACTCACGTGATAAAATAATATAGTATTACATACATAAACACAAACATATTTTACTACTGACATTTTCCTGAGTATATTATTGAACTACAATTATGAAAGATGTGACTATTGGAGAAAGCGTGTGAAGGGAATTCAGGACCCCTCTGTAGTATATTTAAAACTTCCTGTGACTCTATATGTATGACACATAGAAAGCTAAAAATATAAATAAGTAAATAACCTAAAAATATATAAATAGATGCATAGAGTGATAGAGTATTGATGACTTGTGGGACAACTTGAAGTGGTTTAATATATGCGCACTTAGAGTTCCTGAAGGAAAAGAGTCAGGACAGAAAAACATTGAAGAAGAATTACTGAAATACATTGAAATTTAATGAAAACTATAATCCCATAGATTCAAGAAGTTCAATGAATTATCATACACAAATGTCATAAAATCTACAAAAAAAAACTGGACATATTCAATAATATTTTAAGGTCTCAGGATACAAGATCAATATACAATAAGCCAAATGTGTTTCTGTTTACTGGAAAGGACAACTAGAACATGCCATTTTCTTAGCATTGAGAAATATGAAATATTTAGAATTTGTACAAATTTTGCTCACTGAAACCTACAAAACAGTCCTGAAAAAAATTACTGATGACCTATATAAATGGGGATATATATCCTGACCATGAGTCAGGTGACTGAATACTGTTAAAATGTCAATGCATCATAAGTTGATTTATAAATTTAACACAACGCCAATAAAAATTGAAAAAATTGTTTTTTATAGAAATTTGACTTTCTATAGAAATTGGAAAACCAGTTCTAAAAGCCATATGGAAATGCAAAAAACCTAGAATAGCCTAATAAGTGAAAAATAACAAAGTTGAAGGATTAACACTACCTGATATCAAGACATTATAAAGCTGCAGTAATTAAGTATATGTAGTATAGGAGACAAGCTTGACAAACAGATTAATAGAACAGAATAGAAAGTCCAAAAATAGGCTTCACATTTATGGATAACATATTTTCAAAGATGTAAAGGCAATCAAATGGAGAAATTATAGTATTTTCATGAAATAGTGTTAAAACAATGCAATCTCTATGTAAAAACAGTTAATTTCCATCCACATCACACTCATAAATTAACTCAAAATAGGTCATAAAGTTAAGTGTAAAACCTATGACTATAAAGTTACTAAAACAAAATGAAGGAGAAAAATTTTCTGAGTATGTGTTGGCAAATATTTCTCAGCTATAACATAAAAAATAAAACCAATAAAAATTGGTAAGTTTGACTTCCTCAAAATACACTATGAGAGCATGAAAGGACAGCCTGCTGACTGGGGAAAAATGCCAATCATATGTCCAATAAAATACTTGTATCCAGCATATAGAAAGAATTTTAAAACTCAACAATAAGAAAGCATACAACCAGTAAATAAAATGGGCAAAATAGTTGAATAAACACTTATCCAAGAGGACAGATGGATGGCAAGTAAACAAATAAAAAGATGCTCAACATCAAAAAGATGTAAATTAAAACCAAGATGTAACACACATCTATCAGAATATTTACAGATAAAACTGATCATAACATGTGTTAGTGGGATTTGGAAAAACCAAAGCATACACTGCTAATAAAATGGCACAACCACTTCGGAATAAAGTTTTGTAGTTTCTAAAAGTTAAGCATTTACGTACCATCTGATCCAGCCATTTCACTCCTAGGTATTTACCCAAGAGAAATGAAGACATATTTCCATACCAAGCCTCGTTCATGAATGTTGGTACTGGCTTTATTTGTGAAAGCTTAAAACTGGAAACAAGCCACATGCTCAGCAACTGTTGAATTGTTGAATGATTAAACAAAGAGTAGTGCATTCATGCAATGAAATACATCTCAGACGTAAAAAGGAATCATTTATTGCTGCACACTACAATACAGATAAATCACCAAATAATTATGCTGATTGAAAGAAACCATGCAAATAAAAAAAGAAAATACTATGTGCTGCTGTCTATGTAAAATTCTAAACGTTGTCAATTAGTGTATAGTGACAGAATGGAAATTAGTTGATTGCAAAGAAGCATAGAAGCATAAGGAAACTTTTGAAGGTGATAGATAGGTTCATGATTTTTATTGTGGTGATGTTTTCACAGGCATATATAAACATCAAAACTTATTTAACTGTACACTTTGAATATATGCAGATTATTGTGTGTCAATTATACTTTAATACAACTCTCAATAAAAAGGTAAATAAGCAGACTAAATATAATTGCGGAAAACTGTAGTAGAGGCCAGGCGCAGTGGCTCACGCCTGTAATCACAGCACTTCGGGAGGCCAAGATGGGTGGATCATTAGGTCACAAGTTCAAGACTAGTCTGGCCAAGATACTGAAACCCCATCTCTGCTAATAATACAAAAATTAGCAGCTCATGGTAGCATGCGCCTATAGTCCCAGCTACTCATGAGGCTGAGGCAGGAGGATCACTTAAACTCAGGAGACGGAGGTTGCAGTGAACCAAGATCGCTCCACTATACTCCAGCGTGGTGACAGAGTGAGACTCCATCTCAAAAAAAAAAAGAAAAGACAAAGAAAAACTACAGTAGATAAAGAAAATAGTTTAATTACTCCATATATGAATGGCTGTTTATAACAAGTCATGGGAAAATATATAATAATGACTTATAATTATCAATCAAAATAATATCAATATCAATTATAAACAATAATAATAATAGCCTGTATGTCTCCTAAGGTAGTTACATATGTGTAAATCAAACCTGAGTCTGATCAGTCCTTTAGGTCTAATTACCAATTTACAGAAAATACAGATGACATAAAAATATGCTAAGTGATGCTGAGGGGTAAGCAATCCCGTAATGTCTATGAGAATATCTACTCTGGACCTGACGGATGTAACTAAATAATGTGAGAGAGGCAAGTGATAAACACAAGCCTTTAGTTTAAAAGAGACAAACTAAAAATACGCATATCCTTTGACTCAATAATTACGTTTTACTTGTAACTTCCCTGAGGGGAGGGTGGAATTACTCAAGACTATAAAGGGAAACATACAAGTCTTTTACATAATTTCAGTAACTATCAAAATTTACTAATGTCTACAAACATGTAATGTCAACAATTACATTACATAATATCAAGTAATTGTACATTAGTTGAATAACAAACTAAATTTTATTGTAATTTCATGGAATATTATGTAACCATTAAAGGAAAGAGAGTAGTTTTTTTAATACTAACATGGATATAGATCCAAAATATATTATTGTTAATAAAAAAGAAAACATAACAATTACTGCACACAAACACATACATATGAATACATACATGTGTAAGGTCATAGAAAAATGTCAAGGAAAATATACAGTGAACTTATTACTGTAGTTATCTACCTCTCCCAGGAATGTGATGGCTTTTAAATAAATATACATATATCTATAAATAATGCAGAATATTATTTGTTGTTTTATATATTCATAAATGGTAACCAATTATACATGTTCTGCCACTTGCTTTAATGTTTTAAAGATCTGTATTTGTAGTGTATTCTGTTCCTTTTCTAAACAGTCATGCAAGTTCCATTTTATGACTAGACTGTATTTTATTTACACAGTGATGATAGTGGTTTAGGCTGTTCCCCATAATTTGGTACTGCAAACATCATCCCATTGAATATACTTTCACAAACTGCCTTGTGTATACATATGAGCATTTCTCTAGGCTATATACCAATAAGTGGAATTGTCATCAGTTGAGTAGTAAATGCAGATTTAACTTTATGAATCTTGCAAATTGTTCTCTAAAGGTACTGTTCCAATTTATACGTCCACCAAGACTGGAAGATTCTCTTCCCAAATAATCACCAAAAGTTAGTATTGTCATACTTTTTTTTACATTTTATAAGATGAATGAATAAAAACATTGCTTTTATTTAATTTATATTAGTTAACTATAACCTGTAAGGTTGACCAACTTTTCACATGGTGTCTCCTTTTGCACTAACCTGAACTTTTAAACACCATTTCACTGTGACCTAATTTGTTAACCATGGAAACAGGAATCTTGTACTGATTAATCTATCTGGATATTTTCCAGCTAATAAAATGATTAACAATGGAATATGTATTAACATGAACATTAGCCCTAAATTATATATTAGTCATAATGTAAGTATGTCTATATGCAATGACTTCTAATCCTTTAATTTAAAGTCACCTCTAAGAATACCTGGAAATTACATCAACTTATACTGTTGAAAAATTCTAATATGATGTTATATTTTCAGAAAAAAACATTAAAGTACTTTTCTTTTGATTTTAAATGAATATTTAAAACTAGTTTTCTTACATTTTAAGAAGAATGTCTCAAGCTAATAGTACATAGTTGGTAGATACCTGTCAAAAGCCAGTTACCATGGGACTTCTTGATGTAGGAGTTCTGATACCAACTGTTTACATTTCATCATCAATCTAACACTCAGTAATTTGTACCATAAATTCTTGAAAATACAAATATAATTCAAAGAGTAAAAATGTGCCATAAAAATGCCAATAAATGCCTTTTGTTTTTATGCAGTAGACTTTTATATTAGAAATACACTATTTGTGTCAGGTTGTTCATTTAACATTGCTTACTTTCATTTTACACTCTCTTGTGTGACTAATGAGAAGGGCAAGGAAATGAGCAGAGTAATTTTAAGGTAAGCTATCCTCCTTTCCAATTTTCTTTTCCACAGTTTTACAGGCCACTGATATTCAGCATGATTCATATACGTGTTAAAAAATCCCCAGAGCACAGCATTCCCTTGTTTATCTCTAGGAACCCTGATGATCCTTTTGATTAATTCCAAATTCAATTTACAGAGAGCTTTAACAATGCAAAGGTATGGTTTCGATTTCTCCAGATCTATTTATGGAAAACCTTGCATAATCTCTGCTAAAATATCAAGTCTTACCTTTGATAGGTAATTCATGACCAAGGTCAAAGAGAGAGCAGTGATCCCTGAGGGACCACCCACCTTGGGCTGACTAGAGTAATACATTGTGAAAAAATGATTTGAATTATGCATGCAGCAGTACAGGCATGACACTGTCATTTAGTTGGTGCTAAAAAAAGATCTGGTGCACAGTAAATACAACTGATTTTTATGTATCTTGGAAGATGACACTTTATTATGAAGTATGTCACAGTCATCCTCTCTGGCTGCTAAGACATCTAAAGTCATGTCTGTTTTGCAACCTTCCCTCCAGATTACAATTCTGAAGGGCAGTTAGTGACAAGTGAGCAGTGTTTTGTCAAGCTATTCAGTTTATACAGATGGAATGCTGTTTTGCTCACGAAATCCATTACAAGTGCAAATATGTGACTAAATGGACCGGTGTTTTAGATGGGAGTGCAGCCAGTAACCAGAATATTTTAAAGAGTAACTTTATTGAACACAACTCAACCATTCCTCATTTCTTTCTGGTGCTCACCTGTTCCTCCTACCCCATTCTAGCTTACATTATTTTGAGTGTAGCATTAAAAGAACTAGTTCCCATAGGAACTCTCTTACGGATACAAACCCATTCGGTTCCACATATGAAAGGCTAGAATGGGCCTAGCCTTTTAGTATAGGTATAGTATCATTTTTTTCTTCTGATGTTAAAGGGTACGTCAGAGATTTCCAAGCTCTAGTTTAAAAGTGATGATTTAAAAAAACAGTTCTTAAAAATCCTAGGGAATAAAATAATAAATATGATGCACAATAAAAAAAATAAAAATGATCTTGCTCCTTTCAAGGGAAAATATTGTGTTTTACTGGACATCAGTCATGAAGAAAGGATGGTAGTCAGATCAGTCATTTAAAACCTTGTTTCCATTATACTGCCAACTAAATCAAGAAGCAGAGAGTAATGCAAAAGGGAAAACAAATGGTTGTCCCTTAATACAGAAAATGCGTGGTAAGCACCATGCTGGCGGGTTCTAGTGTCATTAATCTTTTCCTACAGTGCAAATTGTCACCATCACAGCTCCAGTGTCACACATGCTCCCAAGTCTGCATTAAGGATGAAGAATAACTTTGTAATGTTTTGAAAGCTGTCTAGCTTCATGAGTAGATTGTCCTTTCTCTCCTAGATAAAAATCAAAACATATCCATGATAATGGATAATGGATTTGAATTTTAAAATATTTCTTCATTTTTTAAGTGATGTAGCCCATTTTCTTTCTGAGGAGCTAAGATTCCTCTGTCTTAAAGGAAACTTACATTAAAGTTTGGCAGGGCCTCAACTAATGGTATTCAAGAAAACTAAAAAATGATCTTGCAAGATGTTTTATCTTTAGACCATGTAGATGGAATGTACTCTATCTCCCAAATCCATGGCATGGATAATTTTTCTTAACAAAATGACAATGCCAAAGATTTCCCAAATTGCTGAAAGCATTTTCCAACCAAGACTTCATTTTAAAGATGTCTTTATTACTAAAATATTCTTAATTGAGTAATAATAATATGAAAGTGTCATAATCATAAGGCATTTTGTTCAGGGTTCTGTAATTTGTCCTTTTTTTCTAGTTATCTATTCCTTCCTCTGTTTCAACAGTCTATATCATCAGAGAACCATCAGGGTGATGAAGACCATACTGAGTCAGAGTGATGAATTACAGAAGCCTCAGAAAACCCTGCCAAAGTATACACTATATAGTCATAGCCAAAATGGCCACTCTTGCTTTAAAGCACAATTGCATAAATCCCCCCGATTTATTTGTCCAGGAAGTTAACTGTGGAAAAATAATGTGACAGTAAATTGGTGAGAAAGCAGAACACTTGTGGAAAGAAACTGAATTGAAAAATGATGAAGGTAACAGACATTTATGATAATATAACAATATGAAACTCATTGGGCTATTAGCCTCAGGAGAGGGTCTAAAACACAAGCCTGGATTTCTTCATAACAGCAAGTACAGAATTCACAGAACCTTGAGGTGTGTGTGTGTGTGAAGACAACTTAAATGTGTTCAATAAGAAAAAAAACTGGTTGTGTAATAAACAAGTATAGAAAACTCAGTTAATTCAATTAGATCAAATTCTCCAAAAGAAGTCTATGTATTTATGTATTTTTCAGTACAAACTGAGCATCAAACCCAAGATGAGTATTTCCTATTTTCCCCGTTATTAGGTAAGCTGGGATGAAACTTGCCTTAATTTGAATGCTTAGTCCATTTATCTGTACCAATTTTAAAAATATAGATTTTCAAAAGTATTAATCTCCAATAAAAGTAATAAAATAAAATAAAATAAAATAGAGGAGGGAAAAAGCAAAGAATGGTAGAGTAAAAGAAAAAATGCTACCTATACCTTATCTTAAGGTTGAGCTTAAATAGCTTTCGAGATGCTTTTACAATGCCTCACAGAATTATGTCAGATATAACACATGGAAAGAGTGAAAAAAATACGGCCTCTGGTGCAGTTCAGCTGGCTTCCAACCCTTAGAATTGTGAGTTCAAAATGAAAAAAAATGAAAGTATTCAGGAACAGAGGAAAGATATACCAATCATACTAGGGAAGACTCATTAAGAAAAAAATATTTTAACAGTCTCAGGGCAGAAAGGACTTCACAGTAATAAGAAAGGGCAAACAAACCACATTTACATAACTGAGCCTTAGTTATAAGACAAATCAGGTAGAGGATAAACGCAGCACATAGTCTGTTCATGTATATCAGCAACACGGAATATAAACAAGACCATTCTTCTGGACCTGAATTCATAAGTCTTCAAAGGAAGGGGAGAAAAATGTTATTTTTCCCAAATCCAAATGAATTACATGCTATTAATAAATGTGAGCAGGTGCCCTACAGCACCTGGCTTCACAAAAAAATTAAGTTTGTCTTAGGAAAACCAGACAAACAGCACTTGCAAATCTGTATATACCAAACACATGGTGTATCTATTTTTGACAAAACTGGTGCAACCATACTACCCAAGAACTAAGTGGTCTTCCACAAATACCCAGTCCTTCTTTATTCTCCCTTTTCCTGCCACAGTTTCCCCTTAAACTACTCTTCCTGAGACCCTCTACTTTAACAGTCTTTTTCAACCGGATGCAGAACCACAAGAAACATGGACTTTGCTGAGTTGTAAGAACATTCAAAATACAAAGAATTTTCTTCCTGAACCTCAAGTTCAGAACCCAGCAATCACAGCCAACCTAACTCTCAGATTCTTACCATACTTTGAAGTATGCTGACTTTTTTGTTCTCAATTATGTCCTAATAGCACCCACATTTTACCAATTTTAATATTAATATATGTCACTTTCTCATAAGGAATGTATAACCTAACATCTTTAGTCTTTTGGCTTTATACATTACTTTGGCAAGTGGTATTTTCAGCTTTCAAACAGTTTTGAGCAGTAATGCATTTATCTGTAGATTGGCAAAGGAGAATAAGAAAGATGAGATGTGTGGCATTAAATCAAATCCTCTAACTGAAGCTCAAATTTTTAGGAATCACTAACATAAACATTTCAGTTTCTCAAAATGTCCTGCCAAAGCAAATACAAAAAATAATTTTAAAAGAGTAGTGTACACATTAACATATATAATTTATAGAGACTTACTCTACTGGATCAGAAACATTATAAGTCTATAGTTAAATACAACCCAGTAGGTAGTGTTTTTTAAACTCTAATAAAGTCATATTAAACTACAGTAACTACCTGTAGAGGCATTTCACTTGTTTGCCCCTCAGTGCCAAGTTGTTTTCTAATTTCACCACCTTCCTGAGCATCTGCATCATAATTCCAGCCACCTGTGGATATTTCTAACTAGCTTTTTTGCCAGAATCTCAATTTCGACATAAAAAGGAAAAGCGGCCATCATTTTCTGAAAATAAACCTGCTCATCCTCCTGTAATCTGTGTCTTTATCACGGGCAGAGCCACTGTTCTTTTTATGTGACTATAAAAGAAAGTGTGATCTCTGCCTCTTCTTTTTCCGGGTATCAGTGCTGAAATTTTGGGGTATTATCTTGGTGGCTTCTCTGAAATCTTCTCCCTCATTTTAATTCCTGGCATCCTTTTCTAATAAGGAGTTCAGTTTTTCACTGAGAATATGTCTAAAATCTCTTTCCACTCTGTGTCATCATTGGTTACTAAATGTCCAATAAACATTCAAATATCTTCTGGACACTTGCTATGTAATGGTATTGGACAAATATTGAATTACACAGAGATGTTACTGTCTCTATGGAGCTCAATATCTAGTGAAAAGAACAGACAAGCAATGAATCTTTCACTTAGCTAATTAATCAATAGGCAAATGAATAAATACTGACAATGACAAGAAATGGTGACAAGTGTCATGAAAGTGGTCAGGAATAGTCTTTCTGAAAAGGCAGACACTAAGTTGAACAATAATAAGAATTAAACAAAAATAAGGAGACAGCCAAACAAAGAGCACTAAGTAAAGTATTACAAGGAAAGAAAGAAAATACGCCAAGGCCCTTAAATTTGAGGAAATGAAAGCGGGTCAGTGTGGCTAGAGGACAGAGAAAGGGGAGAGTTGCAGATAAGGAAGGAAAGCTTGTGAAGGGCTGAATCATGTAAGGTCTTACTGGGTAGAAACAGGAGTTGATATTTTATTGCAAGTAAATAGGTCTTTGGAGTGCTACAGGGAAAGAAATATAATTTCATTTATATGTACAATTATTCTGTCTGATATTAGAGTATATGGACAAGTCTAAAGTCAAAACACACGGCAGATAAATTAAGCCATCTGATATTTCAAATCACTCTGTGCTCTCCAATGTGCTTGCCTACAATGCTCAACATTCTGTGCCTGCTAATATCAAACTCATCATTCATATTACAGTCTATAGGAATCCCCTGAGCACTAAACTCTAATCAACATTTACATTATGTATCAATTATAGCATTGATTGCTTTCTTCCTAAATACTCCAGTTATGTATTAAACTTTGTATTGGAGATTCCCTCCCCACTTCCTCTCTTCTTGATTCCTTTCCTTCCTTCATCCATCACCCTCTCTTCATCCATCCTTCAATTTTTTACTGAGCATTACTATGCTAAAGGCATTATTCAAGTGCAGGGTCCTTATAAAATCTTATTTCTATATCACCTACACAGTGGTTTGCACATTTTAGTTGAAAGAAACTTTTAGTATTCTAGTGAAAATTATTGAACTGACTTGTTTATATGTGCCAGTTATAAAATTAAATTGTATTTTCCACTAGAAATATTAAAAGAAACTCAAGAAATGCCATCAATTTAGTATTTTGAAATCACTATTTTAATATAATTTTTTAAATTTATATTTAATTTTCTTCATGATAAGTGGAAAAAGTAGACAGAATAGAAATACTTCTTAAAATAACTTTTAATTCTGAAATCAGTCCAATTTTCCCAAAAAGTGATGTCTATGGTATATTTTGAATAAATATAAAAATTGACCCTCTAGTCTTAAAACTTGAGAAAGTTAGTTGTCTTATATGAGTTCCTTTCTCGGGAAACCAACCTCTGGCCTCCTAGATGGTGTCAAGGAACTGAAACTTACCAAATCATCACATCTGGACAATGACATGCCAGATGCCTCACCCATCATGACTGCCTAACTGACCACCTGCTTCCTGTTGACAAACTCCTTTTCCTTTCCCCTCCCTCATTTGCTTTCCCACACGTTTATGTTTTTTCCCTGCAATATACAACCTTAATTTTAGTCCATTATGGAGACAGATTTCAGACTGATCTTCAATCTCCTTGGCCACAGTACATGAATAAAGCCTTCTTCCCTGTCAATATTCATTGTCTCAGTGATTGGCTTTCTGTGCAGCCAGTAGCAGGACCAAGGCAGAACCCCTGACAATTTGGTAATAATTCTACAACAAGTAATTGTGTTTTTTCTATATTTTCTTATGGCTTTGCATATATATATATAAATGTGTATATAATATATGTATATATTAACAGATTTCTCACTATTGGGAATATACTAAGGATACAGTTGTATACCTTTTTCATTAACATTTTATCTTAAGAATTTTTCTAGAAATATATATAAAATTTTTCTCTAAAATGACTTACAATTATTTAATTTCTTTGTTTTCAGGGAGTTTTAGTTTATGTCCAGATTTCTTATTAGAAATAATTTTATAAGAAAATATTCTGATACATAAATCACGTCTTTGATTTTTCCCTAAAATGCAGAAGTATGATAAAGGTGAGGCACACATTTTTAAATTGCCTTGGCAACAGGGCCCATGTCTCCCCATTCCCCTCTCTAGCCCCCTGAGTTGTAGTGCCTTGAACAGACTGACCACTCCAACTGAATGAAAGAAAGAGGGATAAATACATGTTTATCTAAAAATATTGTTTTTTCCTTTAAATAAACTAGTGAATATTTCCACAGTGTCCTAACAGACTGGTATATAAAATTTAAACCCTCCTCCTAGTTTTCCTATTAATCCACTATTATCTGTGTTCTTTCTAGTTCAGCCTCTTCAATAGTACTTTTTCTTGGGAAGAAACACATTGCAGGTGCATGTTGGTTGCTCTAGTCCCTGGGAAGCAGCACAACATAATGACCTTGAAGTTAGCTGATGGATCTTTAAATCTAGGTTTTGTCACCTTTTAGCTGTGTCACCTTGCTTGAGGGACTGAATCTCCCTAAGTCACAGTTTTCTCTTCTTTGAAAAAAGATGACATCCACTTCACAGTGTTGCCTTTGAGGATATGTAGAAAAAGCTCTAGATGATATACCTGGCTCATCTGAAGAATTTTTTTTTTTTTTTGAGATAGAGTCTCGCTCTGTCTCTCAGGCTGGAGTACAATGGCGTGATCTCGGCTCACTGCTGTAACTTCCGCCTCCTGGGTTCAAGTGATTCTCCTGCCTCGGCCTCCCAAATACCTGGAATTACAAGTGCATGCCACCATGCCCAGCTAATTTTTTTGTATTTTAGTAGAGACAGGGTTTCCCCATGTTCAGGCTGGTCTCAAACTCCTAAGCTCACGCAATCCACCTGCCTTGGCTTCCCAAAATGCTAGGATTATAGGCATGAGCCACCACACCCAGCCCAGGAGATCTTAATAAAAATCTCCTAATATTATTATTATATTATCATTAATGGATAATAAAAGATATTCTAGGGGATGAAGGAAGGCATCGAACTATTTTCCTTGAATTGCATAAACTGTCAGAGGTAAAAGAATCATTGCATTTTTTAAAATAAAATATCTAATTTTACATAAATATTACTTGTAAAGATTAGTGCACATATATGAAAAATTTCCTTCATATATTTAAGTCTATGTTTTTGAGGAATCCTAATAAACAGTTTAAAGTAAGATAAGAAACGGCAAACTTATATCTCATTACAGATTTTATATACCAACATGGGCTAGTTCTCATGTAGATGAAAGAGCCTTAATATATAGATTTCAATTAAACCCATAAGTAGCAAAATACTATAAATTTAAACCAGTGGAAAAAAAACTGTTACAACTCAATTTTCATTATACAGAATTGAATATATACAAAAAACTGTGTTGGTGAATTGATAAAGTGAAAATCTTATCCTTCATTAGCCCACACTAATTTTTCCACTTTCTTGCCTCAAGGGGAGATACATTATTAACATGGTTCTCCATCCAATACCACAAAACTTTTAATTGTATAGGAAATGAAGTCTCCTCCCTGATATACATTCAAAAAGCTCAGGAGCACCTTTCCTTTTCCTTGGAAATAACGGAAGCCTAAGCCTTTTTCATTAAAACAAAAGAGAATTTTGACTTAAACAGTTAATTTCATAGATAATAATTTTTTCAACACATGAGCGCTCTTTTCTCTCTGCTTTGCAATACATCCACTGGTAATAAGGGAAAGGTGGATTAGGCTAAACTAATTGCAACATGAGTGATAAAGACAATTACAAAGGAAAGCAGTTAACATTTTTTGTACTCTAAAGTGGAATTGAAGGGTAGTACTTCCTACTCTTCAATTAAATTAATTTTGACAGAAGACAAACTATATTTAATTTTTCTGGGAAAAAAAAAACTCCCAGTGATTCCTCATGTTTTGGTAGAAAAACTTATCTTCCTGGGTGTGTGTCTGATGACTTATTTGCTTATAGTCACTACCAAGAACCACTCATATAAGATAAACAGTTCTGCTCTGCCTGCTTGCTCAGCTCTCCTCCTGCACCAGCCTTGCTGCCACTCCATTGGAGGAAAAATCTCAGAAGCTTTTAAACCAGAACTACTCTCTATCTTGTATAGAGGCTACTTAAAATAAACCTGAGACCCACTGGGCTGCATTCCCAGAGAGTTAGGCATTCTGATTCACAGGATGAGACAGAAGGTCTGCACAAGATACAGTTCATAAAGACCTTGCTGATAAAACAGGTTGCAGTAAATACGTTGGCTAAAACCCCCCAAAACCAAGAGGGTGATAAGAGTGACCTCTGGTCATCCTCACTGCTACACTCCCTTGAGTGCCATAACAGTGTACAACTGCCAGTGCAACATCGGGAAGTTACCCTATATGGTCTAAAAAGGTGAGGCATAAATAACCCACCCTTTGTTTAGCATATAATCAATAAATAACCATAAAAATCAGCAACCAGCAGCCCTTGGGGCTTCTCTGCCAATGGAGTAGCCATTCTTTATTCCTTTACTTTCTTAATAAGCTTGCTTTCGCTTTATGGACTTGCCTCTAATTCTTTCTTGCACAAGAACCAAGAACCCTCTCTTGGGGACTGGATCAGGACCCCTTTCCAGAAACAAAAATGAAACTAACAAACAAGCAAAATCCTGAGCAAAAAAATAGTTTTTGGGGACATGAAGGTGAAGAAGCATATGCCTGTTAGCCATGAAAATCAGGAATGACTCAGACAAACTTATCCCAAGGCAAGACATCTAACTGAGCTAGTATGTCTTCAGAGTAGCATCACTGTATCCAAAATATCTTCTGGCCCTCAGCTTGAATTATATGCATCCTTTAGTAAACTGCTAAATTTAAAAGCTTGAGGATTCAGTTGACTTAAGAAACCTCTCTGTTGATAATGAAAACTTGCCTAAGAGGGTTATAGATTCTTTTTCAGCCATTTACACACGTGTTTACGTTTGTTCAACAGGATGCATTCCTTCTCACACTAAGCTGGGACAGGTACACAGAAGAAATGGCAAAGATTTAATACACAGGAGCACAGCACATAAATTTGTACATTGAATTAAAGGAGCATAGTAGGGCAAAAATTTAGTTTCACAGAATATGACCAGGGCATACAGGGTGCTGAAAAGAGGCAAACAGAGAAAAGGTACAGAAAAACATACAGCACTAAACAAATGAGTTATATTCATCACACGTTCAAGTTCAGTCCTATATCCAGGAAAAAGGAAGTAGGCTTTCTTTCCTTATTACCTGACCACACAGCATTTATCTCTGCTGTTAGGAACCAGAACATGGGCTACTAATACAATTCTTTCAAGCTATAGATTGATTCATTCAAGCTATAGATCATCGTTGGGTTGACCAGGAACCCAATCAACTAATTATGTTCTTAATTGTAGGTTAAAAATGTGCCCAATGTTCCAGACTACTTAAGGATTATGTTCTTATTTTTTTAAAAAGTAATAATACAGTAAAAATATCTGTAATTGGATATTTTGTGATAATTTAACTAAAATATATATTTATTGTTATTATTTTTAATGTATTTATCAAGAACTTGTAAGAGAAAATGCAAATTAAAAGCATGAGGCTTAACTCTCCCTGTTGAAAGTAGCGAAGAAATTTTCCTCTTTTCCTTTTTCTTAGAGCACTCACACTGGAAAAGTTAAGCACTTTCTCCTCTCTTTTGAAAACTATATAGGCCTTTGTTGGCTTTATGATCCATGAATATCTTTCTCAAGGCTCTGAGAGCCATTTCCTTTGTTAAATTAAGTTTAGTTTTTGTTATCAGTTTAGCCTAAAGCTGCCTCCATACAAATTTTAAGTTTTGCCTGATTTATCCATACGTAATGAACTGTAACCTAACTGATGTAAATAGACTGTAACCTACTCTTGTGCCAATGACAGAGTTTCAGCCAATCAAAGGTGGCTAACTGTTCAACTTACATTAAAAAATGCAAACATACAACTGTAACCAATTTAACTATTCCTGTACCTCACTTCTGTGCCCTGTATGCCACTTCTTTTTTGGTCCATAAATCCTCTCTGATGATAGGCAGCACCAAAATCATTCTGAGTCTATTCTCGTTGGAAGTGGGGACTTCCCAGTTTGTGAACTGTTCTTTGCTTAATTAAACTCTGTTAAATTTAATTTGTCTGAAGTTTTCCTTTCAACACTTTGAAACACTTAACGTCAATGGAAATTGCACCCCATCTCCAAGTCTGTTTGGGAGGATAGGAGTCTAATTTCTGGGGGTTCCTTGCTCCAAGTTGCAAAACTACCTCCTGTCATAAACATATGAGAAGTTTTGTTGTTGTTGTTGTTGTTGTTGTTGTTTTCCTGAATAAAACCAATTAACTAACACAGATGGTCACCCAAATTACCAGGTAAAGTTAGAATGAATTATGTGTGACAAATGGTGCTGTCAAGTTATCTTACTTGAAGACTTGACGACTAGTTATTGTTTATATCGAAACTTGTATGTAATGGGTTGTAGCTGCTTGGCTATGTAAGGGGTTGAAGTGTCTTTATGTCTTTGCTGTCTCCTAGCAGGTGGACTGGGATGCATATCCCATTTTAGTTTAATGCTTAATCAATATTAAAGTGTTTTTCCCCTTCTCTCTCTACTACCTTTGTAAAGAACATTTCTGAGTTGAGAGAAGATTTAGATTTTAAGTATGATTCCCCAACAAACTCAAATTTGTGTCATTATATTGTGCCACTGTTTTAATTTACTAATATATGCTCTATTTCATGGAGTGTTTGAGGTTAATTATAAGTATGGATATTTTAAAATATTAATAGAATAATGTTTAAAAGGGATGCATTTATAATATATGAGAGAAATGTTTCTAATGCAGAAATGCATTTTATGGGGTCTAAAAAATAAAACGAGCTGTACTTCATTACAGACAAAGAATAAGGAAAACATAATCACTTATAAGATTCATGCTGCCCATGAGACAACAACAAACCAATTGCTCAACAAAAGTGAAAATTTTCCTGGCATAGAGTTCTTAGATGCATTTGTCTTGAATATTCATAAAAGGCAGAGTGATTTTGTGGAAAATTATCTCAGCACCCTTCCTATAATACAAGGAATAATTCCATGCAGTTGTTTATATAGTGTCAATCAATGCAATTCAAGAGCACGATCTCAAATCAAATGCAGTAAAAGCAAGAAAACATTGAAACAATGAGTATCAAATGTCTACTCTCTTGTGGTCTGTCTGTGGGTTACATTTTAAACTTTGAGAGCACTAGATTACTCTTCATGCATTCATCCTTGAATGTTGTTTCTTCCTGGCAGAGAAAAGCAATTCAAGGTTCTATTCCCTAGCAAGAACCTGGATGCAGACATTCTGTGCTGATGCTCAAAGTCAGATTCACATACTTTACAAGTAAATAAATAAATTAGAGGTTAGTTTCTTATGGAAATGGTGTGACCAAACCAGTACTTCTCTTATTCAAATGAATAGACTGATTAAATAATGGAATATCTTCTGGCCAAGATATTCCATTTGTGCCAATATATCAAAAAGATAACCTGTAAATCTTAGTGATGCATAAACAAAATAAAAATAAGGCAAAAATAAAACAAAAGCTTCAAAAAGCTGGGTAAAATGTAACAAATATTAAAAAAACTACATAGGCAAGCATTCATGAAGAAACGTTCCTGGGGTCCCAAATTAGAGCAAGCCCCAAAACAAAGAGCATTCAGCTAGTGCTGCAGCAGCCTCTAAGAGGTTTGCCTTTCTCAGGATCATCAGGGCTTTAGTTGAAATGATATGTGGGGAAAGGAGATGAGACCATGGACCCAAGGGAGGTGGAAAGCTGGTAGCAATATCATCATATAAATCAGAGACATTTAAAAGGCTTTCCCAATATTGATGGAATGGATTAGAAAAAGTTGTCTGATTTACAATTCTTCTCTTACTTTAAGCTGTATGCCCAACCACCCATACCCATCTTCTAAGGCAATTCACTATCCAAAAGCAACAGGAAAGTTTGAAAAAAAAAAAAAAAGAAATCATGTGTTACATGACGTTGAGGGCAACTACACCACTGATACACAGACTGTTATTTTCTGATCCCTTCTTCTTACAAACGTCTAGAGTTCCACATTTCTTTCATCAGTATCATAATTCTTCATCCCACTAAACTCAAAATTTAGGCACATCTATTCAACCTGCCCACATACACACCTAGATCATAAAGTGTTACTCTCTCTACATGTTTCTTTTCCTTGAACCTAAGGGAGCAGCCCGGTGTATGTATGTGTTTGTGTGTATGTATAAAACATTAAGTGTATATAATGTATATAAGTGAATTATATACATTAATGTCTATATTAAATATACACATTGTATGTGTATGTAAAACATTAAGTGTGTATATAAAACATTAAGTAACATTAAGTAACTTAACTTATTTTAAGTTTTTAATGTAAATGACTTAAAATAAGACATTAAATTATTTTATAATTTCCAATTTTTAAAGATTATTGAAATTTAAAAACCATTTCTATTTTAAGTGATAACAAAATACTAAAGTAAAATACTATTAAATAAGAAACACATGGAAGTGGGAGGGACACAAATTTACTTAGTTCGTTGAGCATACACTTCCCATGAATATATAATATAAGATCTTACCTGAGAAATTACATTCCTTTGCTATAAAGGAAATACAGTACAACCAATTTTAACTTGCATTGGCAAACGTCTAGGAATGAGCTAGCTTCACTGGAGTTTTCCATGGTTCTAGCCCTCAGCCATAGTGAAGAGTTGGAATTTTTTAAGAAGAAATTTGGAAACAAATAAAGAAGTCTGAAGTTTGTGAGCCTAAGCCTGTTATTATCATTAAAATTTAAGGAACTATTGATTTGCTTTTTTAATTAATTCAGAAAATTATCCATACTTTGTTTTTCAACTTTATGAAAGATGGTAATAAAATCGTAAGCTTTTTACGTATGCAATATATGATTTATTGATTATCTTTGAGAGTTCTTAATTTATAAAGAGGAAAAAGGACAAGTAACACATTGGACACAAAGTTAGTATTTGACCAAGATGCTGGTCTAAAGAATGTCTCATTGACTATGAGGCAAGAGAGAAGGAAACCAGATACTTACACCTTAACAGCAAGAAAAATAATAAAAGCAAGTTTAATGTGACTCTCTTATTTATATTCAGGGTTGTGGAAGGCCTTTCTAAAATACCGTATCACTGAAAATTCTACAAATCTAACTAAAAAACAATCTATAACATTTACTCTTATATTTTGAATAAAATTTCTCAAGTAAGACATGAAAAATATATTGGGTTAATATCATTAATTTTTATAAGCCTTACATCATGCACTGTAACAAAATCTTAATTACCACATGGGCAAACAATGAGCAAAGCTATAGATACACCAATTATACATGAGGAAATGAAAATAGCTAATGAACATGAAAAATAGTCAACACTCACCACTAGTCATCAGGAAAATGTTTTTTGTTGTTGTTTTTATTTTTATTGTTTTTGCCCTTCAAATTGAAGCAAAGAAGCAGAACAAAACAAACCATAATAAATAATTATTCTAAGCATTCAGTGGAATAATCTCTCACATATTATTGGTAGAAATAAAGGTAAGAATTTTTTGCAAAGTATTTTGGCATGTAGGCATACTCTGGTGCTAAACCTCATAATTTGAATTTGTAATTACATTTGTTTCTAAAGTATTTTTCTTAAAAAGGAAAAAGATAAACATAACTACCTTTATGAGTGGACAGATTAGATAGATAGATAGATAGATAGATAGATAGATAGATAGATAGATAGATGCAGATACACCCTTTTAGCATAATTTAATATATATTTATTTTCATGCTTTTAGTGGTGCCCCTTGCTCTGACCCAGTAAGAGTTAGCAAGACAGACATAACTATATGTTTTTGTCCAATGAACATTAGAATACCACAAACACTTTTGTCCACAATACTCTGCAATACTGTATCCTGAGCTGCATGTAATCTGAAATTTGTGATATCTGCTTCGTTATGGCCTTTCATTCTAATATTTACTTCCTTTTCTCCCATGTTGATTGATAAAACTGTAGAAATAGGTAGTGCAAAGAAACAAAGAACATGTATAAATCTGTAAACCTTCATACTAATTAAGCTAGATATACAGCAACTCTGACATATTCTGAGAAATAAAAAAGGAGAAGATACAAATTAGTAAGCAATTAGGATTGGTGAGAACTTTGACATTTTGAAGCATATCATATAGTACATTTTGAACGCAGCCTGGGAAAACTGACTGTTATATGAATGAAAATTGGGAGACAATGGTTTAAAGCAAGTAGAGTGGAAGATCAGTTGCCAACATAGGATACCAAAATATAATCTTTATGGGGTCTATACTATAAGGATCCATATAGCTCTTATTCAGATTAAGTCCCATATTCAAAACACATTTCCTGAGCTACATTGAAACATTCAGGTATATTTCAAAGTCCTTTAAAATATATTAATTTCAAAACAGCTGTATTCACTCAAAGAAAGCTACCCTAGGAAAATAATCAAGATCTATTTGCAAGAATGCCCATCAAAACATGATTCATAATAGCAATTAATTGTTTATAAAGCAGATAATTCCACAATATAGAGAGAATTGAATAAAATATGTACAAATGTTCAATTATTACAGTCTGTAATGTGATATTCAGGGAAAAATAACTTTATGAGGTAATATATACAGTGTATTATTGAGTAAAAGTCAAAGCAGGAAACATAAATTACAGTATTATTCCAATCTTATCAGTATCTTATATATTTGTAAAATTACACTTTTTATGTTAGAGTAAAAACACAAAAACGTCTAGTGTTAACTCCCAGCAGATGAAATTATTTTGAATATTATATATTAAATTTATTCTGAAATTGCATACATAGTATCATGATTATCTATTACCAATTTATTTAGAATAAAACAACAAAACCATTAGAAATATTTGATCATTCAAGTGGTGAATTTAACAAAGGTTTTCTTTTGGTTATTCTGAAGTTTGTTTACATCAAGTGTAATGATATTCTAGATTATGTGCATTATGATATATTTAAAGACGTGTCAAACAGTGGTTGCTCAGTATCCAGACTTCAGGTCTTTAATTTACTATATTTGGCTAAGAATTTAATTTTAAATGTATTTTTGTGCATACTCTATGTGCTGTACACTAAGCCACTACCACTGTTGGTGAATTTACTATATTTAATAATAACTGAAATGTAAAATTTACAGAATGATCACAAGCAAAACAAATATAATGTCAATCCTGATAGTACTATTTGCATTTTTAGAAAAATTTTAAGAGATTGTCTTAGAAAAAGATACACATTGAGAAATGCATATTTTTTAAGGAACTAAAAACTTTCAGCATTTCTTACTCCCAATTCAACAGAACTCCTACTACCATACACTTGCAAAGATTATTCAAAAACTTGAAGATAGTTTTGGACAAATACTTCATCCCTTTGTCTCTCAATTACATTTTGAAGATATTTGCCTATTTTACCTGAAAGTCTCTCCCTGATAGCTGAACTTATCATAAAAAGCAATGGCATTGTATTTATTTCTCCTTATCATCCTGTGAACTTAATATTTATTTCATCTTTTCATAAGATAGTAAATTTACCAGTGGTGGTTGATATAAATGTGATGTGGCGGTGGTGATGGCTCTATATTTATAATAATATTTAAAATTAAAATGTTTTAAAAGAGTCGGCCGGGTGCAGTGGCTCACGCCTGTAATCCCCAGCACTTTGGGAGGCCGAGGAAGGCGGATCACGAGGTCAGGAGATCGAGACCACCCTGGCTAACACGGTGAAACCCCGTCTCTACTAAAAATACAAAAAAAAATTAGCCGGGCTTGGTAGCGGGCGCCTGTAGTCCCAGCTACTCAGGAGGCTGAGGCAGGAAAATGGTGTGAACCTGGGAGGCGGAGCTTGTAGTGAGCCAAGATGGCACTACTGCACTCCGGCCTGGGCGACAGAGCAAGACTCCGTCCCCCAACCCCCCCAAAAAAAGAATAAAAAAATAAAAGTGTCAATGTTTTTAAATAGGGAATTGTTACTAGTAATTATTTTTCTAATTTCAAATGCAGGTACAAAACAGGTATTTTTTCCATCATACTTGACTAATGCTAAATAATCAATGCCTTATCTTTACCTTTTCACTCTTTCCCCAAATAAATAACTCTATCAACCAATTTCATTGTATTCTATAGGCAATCTCAACAGAGCTAAGTTTTCTGCCAATCAATTTGCTTCTTCTTACTTACTATTCAGTGACCCTTTTCCCCATCTTTTACTACCTCCCACTATTCACACTTCAGGATAGAAAATAATATCTGTACAATTTTATGTCATTTCACATGGCAGAGACTGTTCCTTAAATTGCTCTAAGCAACAATAGCAATAGCAACAATAAAAACCACTAAATAATTGCAAATTACATACAAACTGTAATAAGTGCAATTAAACCCAATTCACTATGATCATTAGGTCACTCTTCTTTCAGTAAGTAACATTAAGGCCAGAGGGATGACTGGAATTCATTTAACTTAATCAAGGAGGGCTAACATAGATCACTTTTAGAAAATTCGTTTACCAGAGTCTCAAATGGTGCTAGTAAAGCAAAGGCCTACCCCATGCCCTTATCCTGAATATTCACACAGAATATAAAGAACTCAAATTGCTTTCCCTAAGAGGTTGGCAAATACCAAGGCTCTTGCTGTATATTTTCCTCCATTATTCTGGAATAATTCATTAGCAAATATTATAAGTTGGTAGTATCACAGATATGCATTAGAATAAAATTATTCTTTTTCTCTTTGTTTCATAAATAAAACACATTTAATCAGTAACTCCTGCAAAAGAGAACTGCCACCTTTTAAAATAGTGCATTACTCACTAAGTTTAATGAGATTTAGTGTGAAGTATATTAACTGAATGCTTTCCAAAGCCAGGTATATAAGGATATATAATAACTTTTACCTGCAAATAACTAATGTTTATGATATTTGTTATGTATTGGGCATTATTTGAACTGTATTATATGCATTAATTTGTTTAATCTTCCCAAAAAGTAAGTAATATTATCTCTATTTTATACACCAAAAGTCTAAAACCAAGAAATTAAGGAATTCAAGGTCACAAAGTTACTAAATAGCACAGATGGGTTTCAAATCTAGATATCTGATAAAGGTATTTTATCTTTCCTATCAAGCATTATTAAGTGTATATGTGTGTTTGTGTGGAAATGTCACGGGATCCTTAGGGTGTTGCTACGCCAGCCAGAAACCTCTGTGGCCAGCAATACCTCTGTTTGAATTTTGTTCGTGCCCACTGGGCTCGTCCCGCCCACTTGGTCCAGCAGGCTGTGATCAGCTCACATTACTACCCTGGATCCCACACCTGCCAAGGGCAAGCCAGGCGTGGAACAGCGAGGGGTGTGTGAGCGACTGAGCACAGGGGTCCAGATACTGCATACAGCCAGGCACACTGGCTGCTGTGGTGAGACAGGTAGCTCCAGGCACTGGCACAGGTGTCAGCTTTGTGCAAGGCTGTGGCTGGAACAGATGTACGCAAGCAACTTCCACTTCGGACACCAGCCTTTAGATGAGGAGAATGTGTTGGTGCCCGAAATCTCAGAGACACCAGGAGCCACATAGCCCCAAAGAGGGTGTTACAGCATGTCACAGCCCTGGTTCAGGGAGCCCTGAGGTCTGGGCTCCCAGAGAGGCCACAGTTCTTCTCTCCTCATTGCCCATAGGGCAGCAAGTGGAGGGGTGTGTTTGAGGGCAGGGGGTGTTTCAGCCCATTTGAGTTACAGCTTTCTCAATCCCAACACCCAACTCTGGCTGGAAGCTCCTTGGCTGGTCCAGCCCTGCTGCTGCTTCCTATTGCATTGGGCAGCCACCCAACACTGCTGGCAGAGGGCAGGAGGGCTATAGTGTTATAGCAGCTCTGGCTGGAGGAATCCCGAGGTCTGGACCCCCAGGATCACCACTCTTCACTCCTAAAGTCTGGGAGCATGTCACTGGCCACAGCTTAGCAAGCAGGCCAGGAACGTGTTACAGCTTCTTTTGCTCCCACCATTCAGAAGGTCCTGAGTTCTGGTCCCACATCCAGGAAGAATGAGGTTATGCAGACAAGTGGAGGGTGAGGAAGGCGGAGAGGAGCTTTATTGAGTGACAGAACAGTTCTCACGAGACCCAAAGTGAGTAGTTTCTTTCCGCAGGTAGGCCGTCCCAACAAGTGTCTGAGTCTGGCTAACTCTAGGGTTTTTATATGCACAGAATGGAGAAAGTGTATGCTAACTGGTACACACGCAGCCATGGGCAGGCCTGCAGTGCCCAGGCTGTATGTGCTGAAGGGTGCGCCCACAGGCCTGTGCCAAGCTGTCCTCAGCCCCTCCGCCATCCCTCCTGCACTCATTGGCACCCAAAGTCCAGACGGGGGTGAGTCAGTGGGGATCTGGTGTGTCAGCACCACCCCAAGAGTGTGCATACCTGACCAGGTTGCGACAGTGTCCAGACTTGGCCACAACTTTGCTCCGCACTGGAGCAGGCACTGGAAGCAGGGAGAGGCCAGTGAACAGGAGCAGGCACTGCTGAGCCTTCAGGGGCAGGGGGGCTCCTGGGGCCCCAAGAGTGCAGGGATGTCTGGGTCTGCAGTCATGGTTGGGTGGCTGCAGCTGGGCCCATGACCATGGGCTCCAACCCTGCCAACTCAATAGGGCGTGGGGCTGTCGCTGGGGATCACCTGTTCCCAGCCCCTGCAGGCTCTGCAGAGCATGCAGCCCCAGCCATACCTCTCCCACTACAGCTGTTGTCATTTCAGCGGTTGCTCCAGATTGGCTGCCACCACCATCACAAGTGTGTATTTGGGAGAGGGACGGCATTGTCTACACTAATATATTCACAAGAGGAGTTTTATGGTAAAAAAAAAGAAAAAAAAATCAAACAAAAGGGAAACAAACAAAAAAATCCAAGATAGATTTTTTTCAATAACATACCTTTACATTGTAAATAAAATCACAGAAATTAGTAATAATGATGTTTTGAGGTAACTATAAATTATTTTTACCAAATAACAATAGCTAAAATACCAACATAGTATAATATTTACTATGTCCCAGACACTAAGTGCTTTATCTGATTATCTCATCTCACAAACACCCTATAATGTGAGAACTGTAATTACTCCTACAGAAAAGAAAATGAAGACTCAGGGATACACTAGATTTTCTACCTACCCCTACTATGTGACTTATGCCATGCAAACATTTATTTAAAAGAACATTTTTTAAAAATACGTAAAAGTAAACTGTGATAGAGCACATTTAGAAAGAAGAAATGATGGTGCCAAGAACTGGAGATGGAATCTAAATTCCATTTAACACTCCTTAACCCTCTTAGTTAGCTCAACCTGCCGTAACAAAATAACCATAGGCTGGATGGCTTATTGTAGAAAAGTCCTCATAGTTCTGGAGGATAGAGGCCCCACATCAAGGTGTCGGCCAGGATGGCTCCCGGTGAGGCCACTCTTGCTGGCTTATAACTAGCTGCCATCTAGCTATGCCCTCACATGGCCTTTCTTCTGTGTGCACTTGGAGAGACAGAGAGCTCCATGACTCTTTCTTGTCTCATAGAGAGCAGATCTGTGAGATTAGCAACCACTTATATGACCTCATTTAACTTAATTAACTCCCTAAAAACTCAGTTTTCAAATATAGTCACATTTTGGGTTACAGCTTCAACCTACAAATTTGGGGGAATGAAGGCACAATTCAGTCCATATCACTCTCCAAGTACCTAAGGTTTGTGAAAAATAGGAGGGGATGTGTTGAGCTTTTGACTTGTAAAGAAACCCTGTAAGCTCCTCTAAGGAAATAGACATTTATATAGGTGTTTTTAAAGTATATATAATGTAGAATTTCACTGAATAACACAATGGACTGTTCCTTTGTAGATTTGGTAAAAATACAGATATGTTCCTCACAGAGTAATTTCTTACTCTGTCCATCAGGAAGTTATAATTTTAGGAAGCTAAGCAATTTTGATTCAGGTATGGGAGGATCTATAACTTCCGTATCAAATCTTGAGAGTTATAAGAAATACATTTTTACTTGTACTACAAAATAGGATGTACAAAATGAAGTCAAATTTCATTAAGTACCATTACGGATAAATGATTATGTTATTTTGTGGCACTAGAGGAAAACTAAGAATAATAATTCAAAATATTAATGCTATGCCATTAGCTATGTTTTTAACAGTGTTTTAATTTTTTCTTCTTGAATCTCATATCATGCTTCTGAGAAAGCCAAAATCAGAATATTATAATTATCATATCATTTATCACTGAGAATCTGAAGAGCAGAAGTTAATATTATAACAGAAGTCATTATTTCCTGAAAGATTATTATTTTTTCTATATTAATTTACAAAACATAATACCTGTTGTGCATCAAACATTGTCTGACACAATATTTTGTCTAACTGATTTAGCAAATGTTAACCAACTATTAACCACCAGTCACGTACAGTCACATGTGTATTATCTCCTGTAATGTATTTGACTTTTGTTGAATAAAGTGATGGGGTTTTTCCTCTAATATTTGCATCATGGAGAAAAAATTAAAAACAATGGAAGAAACCACCAATATTTATTAAGCATATATTTTGAGCCAGATACAATAATTTTATATTTATAGCATCTCAATTCATCTTGGCTAAAAAAATTCTATAACATAGATTACATTATTATCCCCATTTTACAGATGCAAAATCATGCCTTAGAGAAATTGAATAACTTGCCTTGAAACCCCATTCGTAAGGATTTGAACAAGAGCATTTTTATTCAGGAATCCAAGTTCTTAACCATTATACATTACAATGCCTGAAGCTTTAAAAATTATATTAATGAGATTACTCATAGTCATAGTTACTTTTTTCTGAGTTACTTTTTTGACATTTGAAAAATGTCAAAAATTATTATGTGTTGAATTTTGATTCGTTTATAGACTGTTTTAATGGAGCCTGGGATAACCATTTTTTATGGAGCTTGGGATCACAAGGCTATATAATGGGTGGTCAACAACTACTTAATTTGCATACAAATTTTAAAGCACTACCACAATGCCTTCCTCACAATACATACTTCATCAATGTTCAATGGTGGCAGCGATGCTGATGATGATGATGATGATGATGATGTGACAAGTAGCTAGTGCTGGCCACATGGTCTGATGAACGTAGAAACATCTGCCAAGAACCTACCCTAAATCTATGTTTCCGATTGGAGGGTCTCAACTAGTCTCCTTAATTTTCTTCAAAACTTTCCATGAAAAGATATTTGTCTAATTTAAACAATACAACTAACAATTCTGCAAAGTTTAAGATCTACGGTTACATTTTTGATTCCCTAGAAGCCACTTTAAATATTCAAGTCACTCTCATCACTATAAATGAATGAGAAAAAAATACAACTCAAATGATAGAAGTAAGGAAGAAATCATCCTACTGACCAATCACTGTCACAAGGCAACAGTGTATCACTATATGTAGAATTTGTTTTGGATATAATTTGAAAGTTTCAAACTTTATTTTTGCTTTGTTGTCTTTATGGATTAAAGGCTATCATACTCAGATTTGTAGCTGCATTTAGAAAGAATGGAGACTAAAAAAGGATATGATCAATTTAACTAAAAATGGTACTATCCTTTGAGGTTTAATTGTGCAAGTCTTAGGAATTCATGCTTAATCTTTCCAGTGTTAGCTGGAAATCAAAATGAGCAATGTCAACTACAAAAACATGACTTAGTAATTCAGAATAAAGCCAGCTATATGTTCTTCATTGATACCAAGATGTCACCCTTGATGTTGGAGACACAGGAATGAAAAACATATAAAAGTTCTCTGCTGCTTGTATTCTAGTGAGGGAGATAGACATTAAACATAAGTAACCTCGAATAGTGATATATGCCATGAACAAAACAAACAGGTTACTATTGTAAAAACTGGTGAGGGAGAAGGTTCCATTGATTCAATAATCAGGTATCTCTTTAAAATGGATAGGTATCTCTTCAAAATGGATATTTCAGATAAGATCTAAATTAAAAGAAAAATGGGCACGTTATTATGAGTTGAGCATTTCAGGCAGGAGAAAATGCCTGAGAGTGAAGTGATCATAGCATGGTTGAGAAATAGATAAAATCTAAAGTGGCTGGAACAGAGACGAGAGAAGTGGTATGGGATGAGTTTAAAGACATAAACAATGGCCAGATCAACATGCAATGTGAAGACATGGTAGCATTTTATAAAAGATAGATGTAATTTAATCTATCACTGAGAAAAAAATGTTTTGACACCTGTGATGGAAACAATGGCCTGGTAGAGATTCCAGAGTACAAACAGTGAGCTTTAGGCCTGCTCTGTACAATATATATGAAGTCATTCAAATTTAAATTTAAGTACATTAAAATCAAATCAAATTTGAAATTCAAAATCTCAGGCACATTAATCACATTTCAAGTTCTCAATGACCATGTGTGGCTAGCGGAATAACGAAGATAAGTAATGTTTTCATCATTGTTGCCATTCTTTGTAGACAATACATAATAGTGTTGGCAGTGAAAATGGACAATGATTGATGAATTTGCAATACGATTTGAAGACAGAGTTCAAATATGTCTATGTACACACCCATTGCTAAAATTAAATGTAGATAGAAATTTTCTTACATGGTAATATTTGGTAATGTCCAAAAGTCAATCGTGAAGAAGAAAAATACAATTGTATACGTGACTCAAGAATAAACATCATTCAAGTTATCAGGAGTAGAAAGGTATCAATGTAAAATTACTAAAGATTTAAGGTCTAAAGATATTTGAAAGCCAATAGACTTTGAGTGATTTGCCCAAGCATTACATTATCAAGCACAGAAATTGAGAGTAGAAAAGGAGGCCCTCCTAGGCTTTGTTCAATTCTGTCTCCGTAATATACTTCCAGCTCTATTAGTTATGTAATCTGGTTTTCAATCGCCAGCCTACTCTCCTCAAAGATACAAATAACTGTGTCACCAGCACTATCACAATATTTAGCATCTGATTAATGCCCACAAAATAGTTTCATGAATATTTGGATTCCAATGATAGAAAAAAGAAAGAAGAATCAACTAAAAGGTTATTTTAAAAAACTATGTGTTTGCGTAAAGTTTATAATGGGTGGCAAGAGATGGGTGGTCAATAAAATTAAATCAGTTTACACATATAACATCTATTTTTGCTTCTTTCACTGAAAAATATGGAGTATATAACATGCATAAGTAAAATATATGACAATATCACAAGATCTGGAAAGAAATGAAAATATGCTATTGTTAATATCTGTTTTTAGAACAGTTTTATTAAGATATAATTTGCATCCCATGCAATTCACCCATTTAAAATGTACAATTCCATTGTTTTGAGGAAATTTATAGAGTTATGCAAACATCACCACAGTCAATTTTAGAGCATGTGTATCACCACAAAAAGAAGTCCCATATCCATGAATGGTCACTCTCTATTCCCCCTCTCCTTACTCCCTGGACAAACACTAATGTACTTTCTGTCTCTATATATTTGCCTTTTATAAATAGTTCATATAAATGGGATCATATAATGACTAATCTTTTGTTAAGTAATTTATTTCACTAAGCATAATGTTTTCAAGAGCCACCCATGTTGTACCAGGTATCAGTACTACATTGCTTTTATTGCTGAACAATACACTTTTCCTCTCTTATCCAAGATTTTGCTTCTTATGGTTTCAGTTGCCTAATGTCAACCTCAGTATGAAAATATTAAAATGAAAATTCCAAAAATAAAGAAATTCATAAGTTTTAAATTGTGTACACTTCTGAGTGGCATGAGGAAATATCACACCATCACACTCCATTCTGCCATGAACATGAATCATCCTTTCATCCAGCATATCCATGCCATAGACACTCCTTGCCCATTAGTCACTTAGCAGCTGTCTCACCAGGTCAACTGTCTGTCATGGTATTGCAGTGCTTGTGTTCAACTATCTCTTATTTTACTCAAGAATGACCCTAGAGTGCAAGAGTAGTGATGCAGATATATTGCTACAATTGTTCTACTTTATTACTAGTTACTGTTGTTACTGCTTACCTTGCCTAATTAATAAACTGTATTATAGGTAGATATGTATAGGAAAAATCGTATTACATATTGAGTTCAGTGCTATTTGGAGTTTCGGGTATCCAGTGGGAGTGTTAGAAGCTATCCCCCACAGACAAGGGGGCACTACTATAGTCCATTATATGGACATACTATATTTTATTTATCCATCCATCAGTTGACAGACATTTGAATTATTCTATTTTTTAACTTTTTTGAAAGATGCTGCTAAGAACATATGTGTATAAGTTTTTGTGGACATGTTTGCATATTTCTTTCGGGTATATACTTATAAGTGGAACTGCAGAATCAAATGGAAACTCTCTTTAACCTTCTGAAGAACTGCCAGACTGTTTCCCAAAGTGGCTGCCCATTTTGCATTTTCACCAGTGATGCATGCAGGTTTCCATTTCTGCACATTCTCATCTTGTTGATTATAGCCATCCTAGTGGATGTGGGAAGTTGTGTAACATTGTGCTTCTGATTGTGGATTTAATTTCTTAATGACTAATGATGCTGAGCACCTTTTCATGTATTGATTACCTAGTTTTCCTCCAACATTAATGAAAATCCATCCTCTTGGTTGCCATTTGATGTGACCACAACCAGCACTATCCTTTTATCAATTATATATTCTGTACCTATCTTAACTGTGAATAAAGTTTGAAAAGGTAACAGTGAAAGACAATGCACAGAATTATCCATTGTTAGCTTGTGTTCTGAGGCACGTGTACCAATAAAAATGTTCTCCACATGAAAGCTATCACTTTGGGTCTAAAACACAGAAGCAACTTCGTATCAAGATGCACACTAGCCTGGTCACGAGTACCAGAGATCTATACTCTGCAAATGCCAGTTATTCTGAAAAGATGTAACCCTAGGAAGACTTTTATTATAATTCATTGGAAAATACCTGGGCTTCATAGTATGGGTAGTATACAGAAAAGGAAATGCAACCATTGAGTGATTTTATGATGACTTGGTGCTGATATTCCAAAGAGGACTACATGCTTGAAACCTGACCCAAGTGCATACCCGAAAACCACTCAAATCAAAGCAAGTAGGGCACACAAAAGAAAATGAACTCATCACTAAATGGTGCAGCACAGAAACATACAGTAGCTGAGGAAAGTTAGGGTCAGGACAGTTAATGCAACAATAGCAGTCAAGCCTAGTGCTTTTCTGTGGTCAGTGCAGCAATGAGACAGAGAGAATGCAGAAAAAACCCAGGGATATAAAAGGTATTCAAAATATTCATGCAAGATATTTATATGAAAAAATGATTCATAAATTTCAAAATATTTTTGCACCAAAATAAACCCATATAAACTTATAAATTGTCTGAATAGGATCTAGTTTGAGGCCCTAAAAAGGGTAAGACATCACTTTGAAAAGAGCCACTATCAGAGCAACATGAATTCTGCTAAAATTGAAGGAAGAACAAACCTCAAATTTATGGTAAAGCCTGGATGGAGGAATAGTGAAATCACTGATGCTTTATGAAAAGTTTAAGGAGACAATGCCCCAAACAAATCAGCAGTTTACTAATGGATAAATCATTTTAAGAAGAGGCAAGATGCTGTTGAAGGTGAAATCCATGATGGCAGACCATTCACATCAATTTGTGAGAAAAAAAATAATCTTTTTCACGCCCTAAATGAAGAGGGCTAATAATTAACAGCAAAAATTATAGCCAACACCATAGACATCTCAACTGGTTCAGCTTACACAATTCTGACTGAAAAATTAAAGTTAAGCAAACATTCTATTCCATGCATGCCAAACCAGTGTGCTCAGATCAGCTGCAGACAAGAGAAGAGCTTTTAATGAAAATTGTAAACAAGTGGAATCAAGGTCCTGAAACATTTCTTGGAAGAATTGTAACAGGAGATGAAACATGGCTTTACCAGTATGATCCTGAAGAAAAAGCACAATCAAAGCAATGACTACCAAGAGTAGAAAGTGGTCCAGTTAAAGCAAAAGTGGACCAGTCAAGAATAAAGGTCATGACAACAGTTTTTCGTTGTATTCAAGGGATTTTGATCTGGGCACACTGGTTTGGCATTCCGGAGGACCAAAGAATTATAACATCTGTTTATTATGAGAATGTTTAGAGAAAGTTAGCGAAAGCTTTTGCAGAATAACACCTGGAAAACCTTCACCAAAATGTCTGTCTTCACCACAACAATGCTGCTGTTCATTCCTTGCATCAAGCAAGAACAATTTTTGGAGAGTTTCAATGGGAAATCATTAGGCATTCACCCTTTGGTCCTGATTTGGCTCCTTCTGACTTTTTGTTTCCTAATCTTTAAAAGTCTGTAAATGGTGCCATGTTTCTTCTTTTATATCATGTTAATAATATAAAAAAATGCATTTCATGATTAAATTCCCAGGATCCTCAGTTCTTTAGGGAAGAACTAAATGTCTGATATCATTACTTACAAAAATCTCTTGAACTTGATGAAGCTTATATGGAGAAATAAAATGAATATTATTTTATTTTTATCCTTTAATTTCATGTTTCCATGAACTTTCTGAAGTCCCCTTGTTTCAGTAGTAAATGAGCAAGGCTTGTTATATGTTTCAAGAACCAGATAACTTAGGCCTAACACACAGAAGAAGATACACAAATAAAAAACATCAGGAAGGAGGCTTTGTCACTAATTTCCTTGGTTAAAACATTTAATAATATGAAGCAACTCTGATGATTAAAGAGGATCATAACTATGATACACAAAATTTAATTATTTGTTAAACACATGTATTCGGCTCTCAGAGCTTTTTAATAATTTATAAATAGATTAAGATATTAAACACTGGTCATACCTAAACACTTCACAGTCTTGGGGCCTAGAATGCGACCAATCTTCAAAAAGATTTCTAGAAGTGAGTCATAGGGATATTTATATAACTAACCACTAAATTTGAATGCACCTTGAGCAGCAAGGTCCAAGAGTGCAGGATTGTATCCATTTTGCTAAACACGATTTTTCCTGTGATTAGCACAATACCTAGTTATCAAAAACTATAAATTAAATGACTGGAGCTGAGAAAATGGCAATCACATATTCTGATTAGATTAACTAGAACTCACACCTTCCCAAAACACACATGCATTTTGACCATAAATCCAAACTAATACAGCATAAATGTAAAGAGACATACAACTACAGACATTGCAAGAACATTGTCCAGTTATTCATATATACCTTCTGAACATACCAGACATGTCACCAGGTTTAGAATAATCTATAATATATCAAGATGTGATGGGTAATTTTAAATGGCATCTTACTGGTCCCTGGTACCCATTAGTTCTGTTAAACACCAAAAATGTTTGTTGCTTTTTCGAAAAAGTCTAGATGTGGCTGAGAAAATATTTTTTCAATGTGATTAATTTTTAAAATCAATGGACTTTGAGTAAAGCAGATTATTCTGCATAACATCAGTGAGTCGCATCCCATCAGTCGAAGGCCTTAGGACAAGGACCAAGGTTGCTCAAAGAAGGAATTCTCAAGACTGCAACATAGAAACTGTGCCTGAATTTTCAGCCTGCTGCCCTGCAAAATTCAGTCTCAAAACTGAATCATCAATCCATACTTGAATTTCCACCCTGCTAGCCTTCCCTTCAGATTTGAACTTGCCCACTCCCACAATTTTATAACCTGGTTTCTTAAAAGAAATCTCTCTCTTTCTGTCTCTCTTTATCTCTCTCTACCACTACCTGTACCACTACAATCTAGATCCAAGCTACCAGAGTCTCTATCTGGATTATTGCTATGTATCAATCTGTCTATCTGTCTGTCTATTTATCTATCCACATGCACACACGTGCATGTACGCATGCATGTGCGCACGTGTGTGTGTGTGTGTGTGTGTGCAGGTAGCCGTGAGGGATTGGCTCCAGAAACCCCGACTCCCAGTACAAGTTGCAGATGCTGAAGTCCCTCATATAAATGGCATAGTATTTGCACATAGCCTATGTACAAACACCCATGCATTTTAAATCACCACTAGATTACTTATAACACCTAATACAAATGTAAATGCTATTAAAATCATTGTTATACTGTATTATTTGAGGAACATTAATGAGAAAAAAGTCTGTTTTTTTAATATGGTCCTCCATATCCATAGGTTCTGCCTCTTCAGATTCAACCAATCATGGATTTCTTTTGCAAATACAAAGCATGACTGTACATATATACTATTGGTAATGTTTCTCTGGAAACTCTGACTAATACACATATTTTATATTCTCAGTTAATTATAATCACCAGAATGCCTCAGTTGCAGTCCTGGAGACCTGCTTATGTAAAGTTAGTCATTCTATTTCTGTACATAATATTAGTAATAATAGGTACTATGTTTCCCAATCAATGGAGATAATAAAAATAAGTTCCTAACATCAATGAATTATTGTAAAGATAAATGAGAAAACATTAGATATTTGTTCTGAAGTCTCCTGGGGAAAATGATTCTACATAAATAGAAAGTATTATCCCATTATTCAAATAATATAAATGATTTAATACTTCATACCAAATAAAAATCAAGTGTCTCCATAGTATTACTGTGAAACTGCATTGGTAGGAAAAGCAAGCTTTGAACTTGAATATCCTGAATTTTCTACTTGTAATATTTAGATGACTTTAAGGAATGTGACTTAGGATATTTATTATTTTTACTGTGAATCTTAATGAGATAAATATTCTAGGCATGGTTGCTCAAACATATTAATATAATCCCACATTTTGGGAGGCCAAAGCAGGAGGATTGCTTTAAGCCAAGAGCCTGGGCAACACAGCCAGACCCCATCTCTAAAAAAAAAAAATAGCTGGGAATAGTGGTGTGCATATGTAGTCCAAGCTACTTGGGAGGCTAAAGCAGGAAGATCACTTGAGCCCAAGAGATTGAGGCTACAGTAAGCTATGTTCACACCACTGCACTCTAGCTGAGATAACAGAATGATATCCTTTCTCTAAAATATTAAAAATGAAAAATAATAAATTTTTTGAAATATGTAAAATAGTGAAGGCAAAATGGTGGCTAAACATGTTAATTAAGGGAATTTAAAATTGGGATAAGTTACTAACTTAATAATGATGAGCAACTATTGTTCCCTATGTACTTAGAGGACAGAAATAAATTCTTTTTTTTTTCAGAAGTAGAATTTATTTATTTGTTATTTATTTGTTTCTTTTTTTTAATTTTATTATTATTATACTTTAAGTTTTAGGGTACATTCTACACTGTTGATTAACTCACATCAGTATCAGGACTATTTTTTTTTCCAGAAAATGAGTGTTAGTCATCCAATAAATCATGTTCTCATCCACATATACTTCTTTTATTGTAGATATTTAACAGAACCACTAAAAGTTACTTATGCTTATAAGCCAATAATAGGTTGCAAATAAAGTTACACATAAACATCAACTTAGTGAAAGGATATAAAAGAATTTACTTATGTAGAAACAATATAATATAATAAAAAATAACATGTTTCCATTCTCCTGACAGTTGTAGGATAAACAAAATAGAAAAGACACATTCAGCACATTTTTATTTTATTAGAAAGTTGAAATGGCAAATTTCTAATAGTATAATGTCTGCCAACAAAATGTTTTCATTATCTGGCCAGGGTAGAAAAAAGAAAATAAAAATTTAAAGTACATAGTTACATAAATGACTATAGTATCAAAGATGGCCTCAGTTATTTTTTTCTCAAAGCAAAAGGATACTGGAGAAATACTGCATCCCTACTATTAATAGAATGCACAAGGGGAATTATAATTGACAAATCAGGGGTGGATGTGACAGGTAATCTACAATTATTTTGGACTAAAATGTCAACGTGAAAAATAGATTATTCTGAAATGAAATTAATATTCAATATTTGGTACTAAAGAAATAAACATAAGTGACATTTCAATGATGAAATAAAGTGCCTTAAAAAAAAGGGATCATGAAGAGTACTGGGTAAAACCTTAGTTGCAAAAGAGCACAACTAGGGGGAATAGATGGTGATGTTGGAAATGGTCTGTCCCCTCTATGATAGAGTGATCTGACAGATGGGCCACGTGAAGCCAAGAGAATTAAAGAGGGAAATTACATTTATGCCAAACCCATCTTCAACGTTGTCAATATGGACACTAAAATCACCTAAGATTAATAGGCTGTGTGATTCCAGAGAGAGTTGAGAAAGAAAATCTATAAATTCATTAAGAAAACCTGTGGTTTTTCCAAGAGGTTTACAAATTAAATGTTGCTAAAGTTTTATGCTAAGAGCAGATAGATACCTAGAAAGATACAAAATTGAGATGTTTTGATTTTGTAGCAGAATACATTTTTTAAACATTCAGCTCTAACTTTCTCAGACTAAAACAAATTTTCACTATATAAGTTAGGGATATAACAAGATTTATAAGTCCCAAATAAGATTCTAATTTCATAGTAGCCTTATTATCCAAGTTAATTTAAGCATTTTTAGAAAGTTGAATTTACCACTGACTCTGCAGTGTTGGTGGTAATTATTCATCGTTACAGTATTTTATTATACTACATTATAAGGAACTCAATCAAAAATATACAAGTCAATATACAGAAATTCTTAGAATTTATGGATTTACACATTTGGGGATGTACTCTAACGTACAAATATATCAAAAAATATCAAATAAAGTAATTCTATGTGAGCCGAGATCACGCCACTGCACTCCAGCCTGGGCAACAGAGCGAGACTCCGTCTCGAAAAAAAAAAAAAAAAGTAATTCTGTATTTCAGGAAATGGCTTATCTCTTTTTTTCTGCTAATGCATTTAGAAATACCATTTCTGTATCCCTAATTTTCTTTAGCAACAATATTATTCTGATCAGAAGTAACACAGAAAATGGTTAATTCTAAACACATAATTACAGATTTTTAAAAACTGAGGTGCAACTACATAAAGTAAATTTACTCAAATTCTCACCGATTTTTAGTACATAACCTGTTCAGGATTAGATTCCAAATCATGGAATTTCATCACAGTTTCTTTAGTTTTAAAAATGCTGTCACTTCACAAATTTAGGAGAAATCTGCTTCACTTCAAATGTAGACCATGTGCTTAGTAGCTGTGTAACAATGAGTGAAGCACTTTACTTCTCTGACCCTGAAACTTTTATCTGTAAAATGAGAATGATTATAGTACATAATCCAGATGGTTATTGTAGAAAGCACTTCAGCAAAGCACTGAACAGCATGCCTGGTACATGCTAAGTGCTGATTTCTTATTAGGCATGGTCATCATCATTAATATCATCAACTTCTCCTGGCAAATGGTCACACAACCAATACTTGTTGATTGCTGGGTGATAATTAGGGAAGTCATTTTAGAGCATGCAAAAAGGGGAGGGGTTTTAAAAAAATCCACATATAATTGAATAAAATCCGCTAGCCTTTTGAAGAAAAATCCCCTAGCTAATTTACTTTCATAAAACATTATTTTCCTATTTTTAAATCTTTCCAGAAAAGCTTATTTTTATTTATTTAAATATGTGACTTTAACTGCAGTTTCTGATGGTTTATATTCATTTATTTCTTCGCTGAATTTTGTATCCAAAGTTTCAACCAAGTTAGTGAAGTAAAAAAAAAAATTAGCCATTCAGAAATTTACCTCAGAGGAAGACTCCCTGCACCCTCTCTATACATATTCCATGATGCAAGGTAATCTGTACTAACATCAGCACTGTTACATCTTACCCCAAAATAGGGCAAAGACTTTTTGCATTAGTTATTTTAAAGAAACATAGTCACGTATTTCTGTATTTATTTTCAGAATTACCCTTACTCATTTTATTTTCCTCCATGACAAAACAGAATATAAAGCTATAGAATACAGACATTCCAGCTTAAAGGGAGAGTTAAGTTTACAATTAAAATATTTAAAAATACACAAAAGATGTATTCTTCTCTTTATTCTATTTATCTTTCTCTTCCTACTTCTTTATCTACTTTTTTTTCATTTTATTAACGTCTTTCTCATTCTTTTGATAGAGCTAATGTAAACTGTGGAAACTTCCCATGGTAACTGTCTTGAGTTTGTAATCTAAAAACGTGTTTTCTATTCTCTTTCAGTCGTTTGAGGCTTTAAAAGCTCTGGTTCAAAATACATAGACGACCAACTACCATCATCTCTTTCTAAGCATTGACCAAGATGACTTGTAATTTCAATTATTTCAAGTTGTTGGTTCTTCCTACACAAGGAAATTGTGTGTGTGTGTGTGTATATATATATATATATATACACACACACAGAGCATTTCCATATATATATATATATATATATATATGAAACAGAAATTTCTGTGTAACTAGTCTCAATAATTTTTTAATCTAGAAAGAGTATATATGAAGGAGTAGGGCCATATTTGTACCCTTCCTCCAACAATTAAACAATTAAAATATAAGGAATTTCATGGAATTCTAAAAATAAACCCTAGTATTGTTGCCCAATGCTACAAATCCATATAAAATACTTTTGAGATTGTCTGTAGAGTTAATACATTTACTTTTCTAAATTTTGAAAGAATTGTAGTTCCTCTGAGAAAATATAAATAATGCCAACAAAAATTGTTCAAAAATCAGCTTTCAGAAAGTTCTGGTTTTAGATATACCTCAAAAAATAAACTAATCAAAAGGCATGTGAATTTTTTTCTTTCAAAAATTGCTATTATTTCAAACTTGCTTCCTTTCTTCCATGTTGCAGTCTACCAGAGCTCAGCTGGAGACTAAGTTAGAGTATTCAGAGATTTTGTCTCTTCTGGCAGTGTCCCAAGCAGTTATTTACAGAGAGCATGCCTTGGGCAGTAGTAGATGGAGACTCTTTCACAAACTCTCATTCCAGATTACAGTACTTCCTAGTAATTCTGAATTCCTTGTAAAATGCAAATAACTCCTGAATGGGTCACTTATTTTGTGTTTTTACCCATACATCCTGGTGTGAAAATGGACTTGCTTGTTTTTATATTCTTTTACAAATACAGGTTCAAGGTGGAGATAAGGAGATTGTCTCCATGGCAAGTAAAAGAGGAAGCAGAGGCAAGGCCCGTGTCGTGCATATACATACACACACAAAGAGGCCAATTTTGTTACATTAATTTCAACTCAGCCAATATTAGTCAATTGATTTTGTAGGAATAGCCACACCACCATTCCCAGACAAGTTAAAAAGAGTGTGAATTTAGTCACAAAGAGAATCAAATGTAGACTCCCAGGAAAACTCATGAAGTCTACTGGAGTACCAATATCAAGGAAGTATGTGAGGTCAATAACTCTATATTTGGAAAAACACATTTTTAATATAAAAAACTAGCATAAAATTGAAGACCCTGGAAACAGGTTTCCCTTACAGAGGAACTCGGTTTCAGGAGGAGAAACACTGTGCAGAAAAAGACTCCTTGTTAAGATACTGGAGTTCCAGTCCTGGCTCTGTCCCAGGTCTGTCACTCACCAGCCACGTAATGTGGGGCCAGCAAATTATCATCTCCAGACTTGGCTGCCTCATCTGCAAATTAGGGGATGAAGCTGACGCTCTGCGACATCTAATAGCCTATGGGATATTTATGGAAAGAGAAAACCAGGAACTCTGAGTTGGTAGTTATATCTGCAAGCTTCTGAATATGATAAAAGAGACCACAAGAATAACTCTTTGAATATAATGTTCTAATAATAATATTAATATTAAATAATATATAAACATGAATGAATAATAAAGATAAACATAAACATTGCCACATTTGAAATAGAAAATGTGGATAGTCCATTTAAAAAAACCATGGACACAGATTTAAACTCTAAAATAATTTTAAGAACAAAGAGATCTTACTTTTCTGAATCTGGGTCTTACTATACTGTTCCAAGGAGTTGGTGGCACTGAAAGAAGCAACCAATGACTTAATACACACTAAATATGTTTTCTTAAATATGCTATGAACTTTTATACATGTGTTTTAGGAAAACACCTTTCTGGGGTCTTGCTTCTAATTGTCATTGAAGTAAATAAATATACCACAAGACCAACTATTCTTACCTCATGTAAGATCAGTATGGCAAAGTGCAAAGAAATTTCTCACCGTTTAGTCTAGATTCATAATTTAACGAAAGCTTTAAAATTTTTTAAAGTTCACAGAAGACTTTAAAAATTCTTAAACATCATAAATTAAACAAAAACCACTGAATTCCAATCTATGTGGGAGATATTGCTAAACTTCAGTTCTAACCCTGAGTAATTTCACTGAGGTATCACCTTTTTCTTTGCATAGAAACGCTACTCAGGTAGCATAGAGTCGTAACATTTTAGCCACTTTACAAAAAGTACCTGTACATTATAAAAATTGTGTTTGGTCATACAAGTCACAAAGTTCACAAACTTTCTAAGACAACTGGAAAACCAATAAATATTACCATACAAATTCATCATGGCATTGATTAAACATTCATTTCTCTCTTTATTAAAATCAAGGTTTCTCAAAACCAAACTATGAAAAATAAATACATATTTATTTCATTTATTTATTTTTTTTTTGGAAATGATCTCACTCTGTTGCCCAGGCTGGAGTGCGAGATCATGGCTCACTGCAGCCTCCACATCTGCAGGCTCATGTGATCCTCCCACATCTGTCTCCTGAGTAGCTGGGACTACAGGTGTGCACCACCACACCTGGCTAATTTTTTTCAATTTTTTTATTCATAGAGACAGGGTTTCACCATTTTGACCAGGCTGGTCTTGAACTCCAGGGCTCAAGTGATCTACTCGCCTTGGACCCTCAAAGTGCTGGGATTGTAAGAGTGAGCCACACACCTGGCCAAAATTCCTATTTTTAAAAAATAAAATGCTACAATTTATGTTTGCGCTTGAAAACCCATACTATACTATAGTCATGCTATTTCAATAGCACCTTTGCTTGAGCATAAATTATCAACATGCAATAACAGACGCATATTTCAAAACTTGAAAAGAACTTTGCCTTCATCTCCTTTGTAGTTTACAGTCATTGCCATTGGCATTTTAAAATAATGAATGCTTATAATCACGGTTTTAACACAGAATACAATTTTTGGAAGATATCAGATGTTCGAACAGCAGCATACTAGTTGTGGGCTTATAGCTTTTAAGAATAAATTATGCTGCATGTGTTTTGAGAATGTAAAGGTTCATTAAAAAAAACAGTCACAGTTGGCCGGGCGCGGTGGCTCACGCCTGTAATCCCAGCACTTTGGGAGGCCGAGGTAGGCAGATCACGAGGTCAGGAGATCGAGACCATCCTGGCTAACACGGTGTGAAAGCCTGTCTCTACTAAAAAAATACAAAAAATTAGCCAGGCGTGGTGGCAGGCGCCTGTAGTCCCAGATACCCAGGAGGCTGAGGCAGGAGAATGGCATGAACCTGGGAGGCGGAGCTTGCAGTGAGCCGAGATTGCGCCACTGCACTCCAGCCTGGGAGACAAGAGCTAGACTCTGTCTCAAAAAAAAAAAAAAACTCAGAGTTTGTGCAGCTGACCTCAGGCCCAACTAACTTATAAGAAAGCAATAACATTTATTTTAGCTAAACAATTAGGTACTTGCCTAGTAAAACCTTTTAAAGTAATTACAAAATACATACTATCTTTTAGTTCCACCATCACCAAAGCATCAATACTATTAATGTAACATGGAAATGGTATGCATACAAACTAAAAATGAGAGAGTAAGAAAACAAAGCTGGAACATTGGAACTTTGAGAGAACAAGCATATAAGGAAAGTGTAAACAAACTTTAGGAAATAATATCACAAATTATGGGAAGGGGGGTGTTTAAAGTCAGTATGTTCTATCAATTCTTAATTTTATTTAGTTAATATAGACATAAAACAAACATTTGGTTTTTGGAATTCCCTAATTATGTTTTAAATTATATATTTTAAGAACTTTTAAACATTGAATCCCTTAGAGCAATAGTAAATATTTTTAAACCCCAAGAAAATATCTCAGACCTCAGCATCTGGTAAGATGCAATAATATACATTTGTTTATTATTCATTTAAAATGAAATTTGCTGGTTTCATTTGATTTTCTTCTGGAAAGATTAAACTACTACATATATTTAGACAGATATCTTGAATCCCACATTTAGTAATAAGCTGTGTTTTTTTCTCTGCAAAACATCAAAGGCATAAATGAATAATCTGTGATTCTTCTAATAGCATCTCCATTATTAAAATAAGTTGCCAAAAATTGTTATTGAATTCAGTTTAACATTTACTTTAAAAAGTAAAGTTGAGCCTGACAGACATGAGGATTTTAGGAATATTTTGCCATCTAATTTGAAAAACAAACAAAAATTTTCTCCAATAGTTTGAAAACAGAAAGATCTTACACATTAACAATTGAGGCTAGTTTCTCAATACCATCTAGACTTAGAGAAACATCAGCAGAACTGATACTATTAGGGAAAATAACCCAATTTGGAGAATGCTGAGTAATAACACTCTACAATCTGCTTGATAGATATGAATTGGATGAGAGTAAAATATGAAATAGTGTGTCATCCAGTGCCCTCAACTTCTCTCGTCCACTTCTGATAATCAGTTAATCAGAGTTCATCCCACTTGTCAAAATACCTCAGCATTAAGATGACAAATGATGGAAGTAGAAACAGAGACAATGATAGGAGACGATGAATGCACTGAGAGCAGCTGAGAGGGCGCTAATATCTCATAAGAGAGAGAACAAGAAGGGCTAAACAGAGAGAACTGACAGAACTCCAAGCAGTAATTTCCTTGTTGTTGATTTTTGTTTTGTTTTGTTTTTAAACATAGCAGATAAATTGCAATGAAAGGGAGTGGCAGGCTGCTGCCCTGTTAGGGAACCAGTGAATGCAACAAATGTTAGATTTACACAGATTTCTTAAGAGGGGCCCAAGTGAGGTCGTGACATACAACAGGAGAGCTTGTTAAAGCTCACACCTATACAGTGTGCAAAGTCATGAATAGGATAAGTTTTAATTTTTTGAAGTGTATTATCCAATTATCTTCTCCAAAGCATTCCCCTCAGTTTTCATCTCCTTAAGAAGGCACTGCCTTTAAAACACATTACAAGAAAAATATCCAGAATCTGCAAGGAACTTAAACAAATTTACAAGAAAAAATCAAACAACCCCATCAAAAAGTGGGCAAAGGATATGAACAGACACTTCTCAAAGGAAGATATTTATGTGGCCAAAAACATATGAAAAAAAGCTCATTATGACCGGTCATTAGAGAAATGCAAATCAAAACCACAATGAGATACCATCTCACACCAGTTAGAATGGCGATCATTAAAAAGTCAGGAAACAACAGATGCTGGAGAGGATGTAGAGAAATAGGAATGCTTTTACACTGTTGGTGGGAGTGTAAATTAGTTCAACCATTGTGGAAAACAGTGTGACGATTCCTCAAGAATCTAGAACCAGAGACACCATTTGACACAGCAATCCCATTACTGGGTATATACCCAAAGGATTATATCATTCTACTATAAAGACACATGCACACATATGTTTACTGCAGCACTACTCACAATAGCAAAGACTCAGAACCAACCCAAATGCCCATCAGTGACAGACTGGATAAAGAAAACATGGCACATATACACCATGGAATACTATGCAGCCATAAAAAAGGATGAGTTCGTGTCCTTTTCAGGGACATGTATGAAGCTGGAAACCATCATTCTCAGAAAACTAACAAAGGAACAGAAAACCAAACACTGCATGTTCTCACTCATTAATGGGAAGTGAACAATGATAACACATGGACAAAGGGAGGGGAACACCACATATCAGGGCCTGTTGGGGAGTGAGGCTAGGGGAGGGATAGCATTAGGAAAGATACCTAATGTAGATGACGGGTTGTTGGGTGCAGCAAACTACCATGGCATGTGTATACCTATGTAACAAACCTGCACGTTCTGCACATGTATCCCAGAATTTAAAGTATAACTTTTTAAAAAGTATCTTTCATTCAGAAAAGATTTTGTTTTGTTTTGTTTCCAGGGTAGCAATTCTAATTTATTTTCTTGTCCATAAAGGAAAACCCAAAAAGAACTGGACTTGAGAGAATTTTCCTTCATAATTTCAAACTATTTGCATGAACTTTCGGTTCATCCCCCTTCCTTCATTTCTCTTTGACTATCAATAGTGTCTAGTATTATGATTATTCTTAAATTAATATTTCGTCTTTTTGATTAACACAATAAAACAGTAAGGCTTTCTGACTTGGAACTCTTCACAAAAGAATACCACCAGAAGAAAGAAAATGTAATTGGCTAAATGGAAAGTACTCACTTGAAAGCCAGTGAAAGCACACTGTAGCCATATCTTCAGGTGTACTTTTATTCATTTTCTTTATATTTACCTATCAATCATGTTATATTTTCTTTCCTCCATTTCAAAAGACTTTCTGAAATCCACTATGGATACCACTGCTTCCATGTTAGGTACTGATGCAGATGGCAGTTCAAGAGTAGTTGGCTTAATTTTTGATTATGTACTTTTAAATTTATACTCAGATTCAAATTCAGATGAAGCCAATAGTCATAAAAATCTGACGGAAGGAAGCCTGGAAAGTACCTAGTTATCAGGGATTTTAACATGATATACTGTATATGAAAGCTCTTGATAGTCTTATATTTTTCCTTTTCATGCACAATAATAATACCTGACAAAATTTAGACTGGCACAAGTATATTGTCTGTCAAAGATGCTTCAGGATTTATTTGGCTCTTAGTCAACTCACATTACTACAAGCTCTTTGATACACAGAGCACAAAACAGCTTAACATTGTTGCTATTAGTGCTCAAACCACACTGAAAACACTTCATTAAACAGCCTACTGCAGTGTAATTGTTTAATAATATTTTGATTAGGTTGTTTAGCAGACAATCTATGCTGTAAAACATTTTCTTGCTGTCAAGTGAATCACTGGTAAAAAGGCTACTGCAAAATACTTAAGAGAATCTCTTAAGAAAGAAATCATAGTGGGGAAAAAAGAAACACCTAAGTCATTCTATTCTTATTACCTACTGTATTAGTTTCCTATAGCTGCTGTAACAAATTACTTCAAATTTAGTGGCTTAAAACTACACATATTATCTTACAGTTCTGGAAATCAGAAGTCTGACATGGGTCTCACTGAGCTAAACTTAGGGTTTGCAGTGCTGCATTCCTTTCTGAAGAAGAATCCATTTCCTTGTACTTCCTTGCTTCCAAAGGCTTCGCCCATTTCTTGACTCAGGGTTCACTTCCTCCATCTTTCAACCCAGTAATGGACAGTGGGATGTTTCTCACATTGCAAAACTGACACTTGACTCTCTTGCCTCCCTCCTCCATTTGTAAGAACCCTTTAGCCCACCCAAATAAGCAACAATAATCTTATTTTAAGGTCATCAGATTGCTAACCTTGATTTCCCCTTGTCATGTAACACATGTATTTACAGATTCCAGGTATTGAAACAATTATATCTTTGGGGAGGCCTTTGTTCTGCCTGCCACAACCACCATATGGCTTCATGAAAGTTAACTCAATTTTCACACAGAAACACGTTGCTTTGGGAGAGTGAAGTGGTTAGTTTAAGGGGAGTGTTGTACCTTGTACATCTGTTCCTTGGTCACCCCCATTTTAGCACAGAATCTGATTTCCAGGGTTAATGTCAAGGCTGTAGTCGTTCTGAACCTTTCGATTAAAAAATGCTTATTAGATTCTTAACATGTGAAAGATAGTAGTCTGTTAGCTATCATTATAATGGTGACTACTCACAAGAAGAAAAAAGGGGATCTCATTCCCCTTTGATATTCTCTCTACTAAATACAAATACAATGTGGCTCTGAAGAATACAGACATAGACTTACACGGTTTTCAACAGCTCTGCTTTCGTAACAATTATAATTTTCAAACTTTTTCACTTACTCTTGAGAGGTGACAACGTGCTGGCGGCCCTCGCTCCTTCTCAGCGCCTCCTCGGCCTCGGCGTCCGCTCTGGTCAGGCTTGAGGAGCCCTTCAGCCCGCCGCTGCACTGTGGGACGCCCCTCTCTGGGCTGGCCAAGGTTGGAGCTGGCCCCCTCTGCTTACGTGGAGGTGTGGAGGCAGAGACGCAGGCGGGAACTGGGGCTGCGCGCAGCGTTCGCGGGCCAGCGTGAGTTCCGGGTGGGCGTGGGGCTCCGCGCCCCGCACTCACTCGGAGCCGCCCTCCGTCGCCGCCAGCCCCGGGCAGTGAGGGGCTTAGCACCCAGGCCAGCAGCTGCGGAGGGGGCGCCCGGTCCCCCAGCACTGCCGTCCCTCGTGCGCAGTGCTCGAATTCTCGCTGGGCCTCAGCCGCCTCCCCATGGGGTAGGGCTGGGACCTGCAGCCCGCCATGCTCCAGCTCCCCCAAGATGGGCTCCTGCGCGCCTCCCTGAAGGGCACCGCCCCTGTGCCGCAGCAACCGGTCCCATCCGCCTAAGGGCTGAGGAGTGCATGCGCATGGCGCGGGACTGGCAGGCAGCTCCACCCCTGGGCGCGGCATCCACTAGGCGAAGCCAGCTGGGCTCCTGAGTCCAGGTGGGGACTTGGGGAACTTTTATGTCTAGCTGAAGGATTGTAAATGCACCAATCAGCACTCTGTGTCTAGCTTGGGGTTTGTAAATGCACCAATCAGTGCTCTGTGTCTAGCTAATCCGGTGGGGACTTAGAGAACTTTTATGTCTAGCTAGAGGATTGTAAATGCACCCATCAGCACCCTGTGTCTAGCTCAAGGTTTGTAAATATACCAATCAGTGCTCTGTGTCTAGCTAATCTAGTGGGGACTTGGAGAACATTTACGTCTAGCTAAGGGATTATAAATACACCAATCAGCACTCTGTGTCTAGCTCAAGGTTTGTAAATGCACCAATCAGCACCCTGTGTCTAGCTCAATGTTTGTAAATGCACCAATCAGTGCTCTGTGTCTAGTTAATCTAGTAGGGACTTGGAGAACTTTTACTTCTAGCTAAAGGATTGTAAATACACCAATCAGTGCTCTGTGTCTAGCTCAGGGATTGTAAACGCACCAATCAGCACCCTGTCAAAACAGACCAATCAGCTCTCTGTGAAATGGACCAATCAGCTCTCTGTAAAGTGGGCCAATCAGCAGGATGTGGATGGGGTCAGATAAGGGAATAAAGGCGGGCTGCCCAAGCCAGCACTGGCAACCTGCCGCGTCGCCTTCCACAGCGTGGAAGCTTTGTTCTTTTGCTCTTTGCAATAAATCTTGCTGCTGCTCACCCTTTGGGTTTGCACTGCTTTTATGAGCTGTAACACTCACCGCAAAGGTCTGCAGCTTCACTCCTGAGGCCAGCGAGACCATGAACCCACAGGGAGGAATGAACAACTCTGGAGGGGAGAAACAAACAACTCCACACGTGCTGCCTTAGGAGCTGTAACACTCACCGCAAAGGTCTGCAGCTTCACTCCTGAAGCCAGCGAGACCACAAACCCACCAGAAGGAAGCAACTCCGAACATCAGAAGGAACAAAGTCCGGACACAACATCTTTAAGAACTGTAACACTCACCACGAGGGTCCGCAGCTTCATTCTTGAAGTCAGTGAGACCAACAACCCACCAATTCCAGACACACTCTGAGTGCTGGCTTCAAAGAGGAGAAAGCTTTAGTGCCATACAAAAGGGTGAGTAGTTTTCATGATGTCAATGCATGTTAACTGAAAATGTCTGCATGACACTTTGCTCAGTAAACAATGGAAATGTTTCCTACTTTTTTGGGATGGTAGGCAAATATATGCCAATTTTTGGAACCCAATAAAATATTTTTGTTTATAGAATCACCAATTTCAGAATAATAAGGTACTTTAAATATCATGTATAAAAATTTCTTAATCTCACCAATTTGTGATCAAACTGGTTTTGAACATTCTCAAGGTAGAGGAAATTGATATTTCTGAAAACTTGTTCCATCTTCCTTGTATCTTCATATTAAAGCCAATTCTTTTTCCTTATAATTTATTTTATTCTGCTTAGTAAAGTTTGACTCTGTAATGAGTATATGGAACAATTCTAATATCTGTTCTGATGACACCCCTAATATATATGTGTGTGTATATATATACATATAAATTTTTTTTTTTGAGTTGGAGTCTTGCTCTGTCACCCAGGCTGGAGTGCAGTGGCGCGATCTCGGCTCACTGCAAGCTCCACCCCTCCGGCTCACTGCAAGCTCCGGCTCACTGCAAGCCCCAGCTCACTGCAAGCTCCACCCCTCCAGTTCACGCCATTCTCCTGCCTCAGCCTCCCAAGTAGCTGGGACTCCAGGCTCCTGCCACCATGCCCAGATAATTTTTTGTATTTTTAGTAGAGACGGGATTTCACCATGTTAGCCAGGATAGTCTCAATCTCCTGACCTCGTGATCCTCCCGCCTCGGCCTCAAAGTGCTGGGATTGCAGGCATGAGCCACTGTGCCCGGTCATAAAAATATTTTTAAAAAGTTAAAATCTATACCCTGGGATAGAATAAACATTCCCAATCCCTATTAAAGCTTGGAGTCTAATTACTTCATCAGCCTGGTCACATATATTTGAATACGGTTCAGTTTATGTCAGTATTTCCCTTAAAGTCTTATTTGTGGAAGGAAACACTGTTCTAAATGTGGTCTAAGCAGATTTTCCCACCCCTGTTCTTAGATACTGCATTTTCATTTGACATTGACAAAAATCCTGTTAGTGGTATAAACCACCACCATTCACTTTTTATTTTATGATGTATTTTTCAGTAATTTTGCTAGTGTTTTATTTTGCTTTTTACATCATTTTATTTACTTGTGCTGTTGTTCTTTTTTATCCTCTATTAGTATTATTAGATTTTGTCTCTCATTAATTTACTTTATTTTCTTTTATTTTCAATCTGAAACACAAAACTTTACATTTGACTTCATTTAACTTCATTTTATTGGATGTACTCCAAGCTAGATGAGAGCTTTTGAGATATTGATTGTCTAACGCAAAACTATGCAGTTACCTTTTTATAGTCAAGTTAGCCACACAGTTGATTAAATGCCCTGGATATCATCACAGAAACAATAGATAAAAAGTTGAATGAGATTAGTCCAAAAAATATAAACAAGGCTGCTCTCCAAGTTCATGAAGCAGCATACTTCCTGCAAAGGCTTTCTTACTCACCCAACTGAAATATTGGCTCTTGCAATAATTTTTAAACACCAATTCATTTTTAATTTAGGTTCCTCACCACTTTTCACATAAAACTGCATGTAAAATTCTGGTGAGAAATACTGGCCACTTAACTGTTTCTTGATGTCAAATGTCATGCTGAGATGTGAAACTATGACATTATCAGTATGTATTATGCAAAATTTCTACTCCTTAGTCTAATTCAAAATTACAATCATAGAACCTGGAATACATTTGAATGTAGCCAGTTCTTCCTGTTGCCTTACGAATTATTATGAATGTTAGTCTCCAAACTGTCAGGCAATTATAAATTTCAAAATGAATTTGATGAAAGGTTGTAAGAATTTGTGACTTTTATAACTGATACTGTATTATCCGTATATAAATTGTATTTTGATGTAAGATGTAAATTATATTTTGATGTAAAATGTAAAAGGTAAGGGCATTAGAAGGGAGGATCTGCTATCGCTTATGTGAAAATCTGCTAGTCTCTTGGGAGCTACCAAGATTTTACCTGTCATTGAGCTATGCCATGAGCAGAATATTTTTAAAAGATTTAAACTACAAAACCTCTTACTGACTTTCATATAATGTCATTCATTTACATATCCATGCATATATTAATATGTGTCTTAATGTGATAGAGACAAAAGACCATTTAAAGGCACAGTTCAGTTAATAATAAACACATTTAAACCAACACTCTTTTTTACCTATTGAACAAAAATTATTAGAATTTTTAAGTGTACCTGTTGAAATAGATAACTATCCATTACTAAAATGAAAAAGAAATGTTTTATCTATTAATATATTACCATCAGTGGTGGGCAATAATATTTAAAGACTTTTTTCGTATTTGTTAATTGATATATCATAGCTGTACATATTTAGGAGTGTATGTGATATTTTGATACACATATGCAATGTGTAATGATCAAATCATGGTAACTGGAATATCTATTACCTAAAGCACTTATCTTTTCTTTTTGTTGGGAACATTACATTCTTTCTATCCTTTAAGTCTTCTACCTTGCTTTAAAATGTTGGACTCTATTATCTAAAGATAATCTAGAAAAAGGAATCTGAATTGGGGTTTTTAGTTTACCAATATATTTAGTATGTTAAATGCATTCAACATAAGAGGAAAGGTGTGTGCTTCAAATGAGAAAAGCCTTGTTCTTGTTAGGAAGAGCTTTATATGTGGAATTTAGAAAGTTTGTAGAGTCTGCTTTGGTTATGAGAAAGATTTAGAAAGATAAGCTTTCCCAGAAATTTGGATAACAGGCTGAGATACAAGCAACATTACAACACTAAAAGTCATCATGATTTATCTCCTTCTCACTACAGTTTTATTATTTATATCCTAATGTATTTAGGAATAGTTTAATGTTGGACATGTTTTTGTAAAAGGGATCTGCTAGTTACATAATATTTATGGAATCTTAAATGGTTAAATTTGATTTCATACACACACATATATACCCAACATACAGTTCTCAGAGCTTTACAATATCTGTTTTATTTGATTAAATTGTTTAATTCATTTATTTTGTACATGATTATTACCAAATAGCATGTACTATAAGTAAACAAGAGCCAGTGTAACTGTACATTTATCATGAATAAATATATTGCATATAAAATATGAAGAATTAAGCTGATTACCCAAGTCATTGGCTGACATTAAAAGAAAACACATGTGATGAATTGTATAGAATGATTATTAAGCTGACAAAATTCTAGAAAAACAAATTAACCCACGATGTGCAGTCATCCCTACATCCTCATGAATTGAACATTAACTATAACTGCTCCCAAATGGAAGTCTTTAAATGATTGTGGCTCCAGCTTGAAATAAAAGTAAAGTGATAACACATTTTTTGTTGTTTCAGAATCTTAAACTAGTACGGTAAAATATGCTGCAGTATTTCATTCGGTTTTTAATTCGCTAGCCGGTGAGCAGTTAATCATGTTTAAAAATCATTATTTAACTTTTACCTAATGGTCTCAAGTCTTAGAGTGCTTCACAAAATACATTCGGTCAAAATCTAAATCTAATTACAGTAGTTCATTTAACTAAAACATAACAGGGGAAATGTCACTGATTTAATATCACTCTTTCCAGTAGTAAATACATGCATGACTAATGAATAGTTTAATTAACGACCATGAACATTATTTAACAAATATAACAAATCAAACATAACTCTTCAGATGGGACAAGATTAATCCAGCCTTGAAAAGTTATCAGATCAGTACTGTGGGGAACTTGTCATATTCTCATTTGAGAAAAAAATGATTTTAATTTTTTAATTACATAATTGGACAGCCATTTTTTTCATAATTCATTTAAATTTGGATTTTTTTATTATACTTTAAGTTCTAGGGTACATATGCACAACGTGCAGGTTTGTTACATAGGTATACATGTGCCATGTTGTTTTGCTGCACCCATTAACTCGTCATTTGCATTAGGTATTTCTCCCAATGCTATCCCTTCCCCAGCCCCCAACCCCATGACAGGCCCTGGTGTGTGATGTTCCCCGCCCTATATCCAAGTGTTCTTATTATTCAATTCCCACCTATGAGTGAGAGCATGCGGTGTTTGGTTTTCTCTTCTTGTGTGACTTTGCTGAGAATGATGGTTTTTAGTTTCATCCATGTCCCTGCAAAGGACAAGAACTCATCATTTTTTATGGCTGCATAGTATTCCATGGTTATGTGCACCACATTTTGTTAATACAGTCTGTCACTGATGGACATTTGGGTTGGTTCCAAGTCTTTGCTATTGTGAATAGTGCTGCAATAAATATGTGTACATGTGTCTTAATAGCAGCATGATTTATAATCCTTTGGGTATATACCCAGTAATGGGATCGCTGGGTCAAATGGTATTTCTAGTTCTAGATCCTTGAGGAATCTCCACACTCTTTTCCACAATGGTTGAACTAATTCACACTCCCACCAACAGTGTAAAAGCATTCCTATTTCTCCACATCCTCTCTAGCATCTGTTGTTTCCTGACTTTTTAATGATCATCATTCTAACTGGTGTGAGATGGTGTCTCATCGTGGTTTTGATTTGCATTTCTCTGATGACCACTGATGAGCATTTTTTCATGTGTCTGTTGGCTGCATAAATGCCTTCTTTTGAGAAGTGTCTGTTGATATCCTTTGCCCACTTTTTGATGGGAATGTTTGTTTTTTCTTGCAAATTTGTTTAAGTTCTTTGCAGATTTCAGATATTAGCCCATTGTCAGATGGGTAGATTGCAAAACTTTTCTCCCATTCTGTAGGTTGTCTCTTCACCCTGGTAGTTTCTTTTGTTTAATTTAATTTAATTTAATTTAATTAGATTCCATTCATCTATTTTGGCTTTTGTTGCCACTGCTTTTGGTGTTTTAGTCATGAAGCCCTTGCCCATGCCTATGTCCTGAATGGTGTTGCCTAGGTTTTCTTCTAGAGTTTTTATGGTTTTAGGTCTAACATTTAAGTCTTTAATCCATCTTGAATTAATTTTTGTATAAGGTATAAGGAAGGGATCCAGTTTCAGCTTCCTACATATGGCTAGCCAGTTTTCTCATCGCTATTTATTAAATAGGGAATCCTTTCCTCATTTCTTGTTTTTGTCAGGTTTGTCAAAGATCGGATGGTTGTAGATGTGTGGTGTTATTTCTGAGGCCTCTGTTCTGTTTCGTTGGTCTATATCTCTGTTTTTGTACCAGTAGCATGCTGTTTTGGTTACTGCAGCCTCATAGTGTAGTTGGAAGTCAGGTAGTGTGATGCCTCCAGCTTTGTTTTTTTTGCTTAGGATTGTCTTGGCAATGCTGGCTCTTTTTGGTTCCATATGAACTTTAAAGTAGTTTTTTTCAATTCTGTGAAGAAAGTCCTCAGTAGCTTGATGGGGATGGCATTGAATCTATAAATTATCTTGGGCAGTATGGCCATTTTCACAATATTGAGTCTTCCTATCCATGAGCATGGAATGTTCTTCCATTTGTTTGTGTCCTCTTTTATTTTGTTGAGCTGTGGTTTGTAGTTCTCCTTGAAGAGGTCTTTCACATCCTTTGTAAGTTGTATTCCTAGGTATTTTGCTCTCTTTTTAGCAATTGTGAATGGAAATTCACTCATGATTTGGATCTCTGATTGTCTGTTATTTGTGTATAGGAATGCTGGTGATTTGTTCACATTGATTTTGTATCTTGAGACTTTGCTGAAGTTGCTTATCAGCTTAAGGAGATTTTGGGCTGAGACGATGGGGTTTTCTAAATATACAATCATGTCATCTGCCAACAGGGACAATTTGACTTCCTCTTTTCCTAACTGAATACCCTTTATTTCTTTCTCTTGCCTGATTTCCCTGGACAGAACTTCCAACACTATGTGGAATAGGAGTGGTGAGAGAGGGCATCCCTGTCTTATGCCAGTTTTCAAAGGGAATGCTTCCAGTTTTTGCCCATTCAGTATGATATTGGCTGTGGGTTTGTCATAAATAGCTTTTATTATTCTGAGAAATGTTCCATCAATGTCTATTTATTGAGAGCTTTTAGCATGAAGGGCTGTTGAATTTGGTCAAAGGCCTTTTTTGCATCTATTGAGATAATCATGTGGTTTTTGTCATTGGTTCTGTTTATGTGATGGATTACATTTATTGATTTGCGTATGTTGAACCAGCCTTGCATCCCAGGGATGAAGCCAACTTGATCTTGGTGGATAAGCTTTTCGATGTGCTGCTGGATTCGGTTTGCCAGTATTTTACTGAGGATTTTCGCATTGATGTTCATCAGGTATATTGGTCAAAAATTCTCTTTTTTTGTTGTGTCTCTGCCAGACTTTGGTATCAGGATGATGTTGGCCTAATAAAATGAGTTAGGGAGGATTCCCTCTTTTTCTATTGATTGGAATAGTTTCAGAAGGAATGGTACCAGCTCATCTTTGTACTTCTCTTAAAATTCAGCTGTGGGCCGGGCGCGGTGGCTCACGCCTGTAATCCCAGCACTTTGGGAGGCCGAGGCGGGCGGATCACGAGGTCAGGAGATCGAGACCATCCCGGCTAAAACGGTGAAACCCCGTCTCTACTAAAAATACAAAAAATTAGCCGGGCGTAGTGGCGGGCGCCTGTAGTCCCAGTTACTTGGGAGGCTGAGGCAGGAGAATGGCGTGAACCCGGGAGGCGGAGCTTGCAGTGAGCCGAGATCCCGCCACTGCACTCCAGCCTGGGCGACAGAGCGAGACTCCGTCTCAAAAAAAAAAAAAAAAAAAAAAAAAAATTCAGCTGTGAATCAGTCTGTTACTGGACTTTTTTTGGTTGGTAGGCTATTAATTATTGCCTCAATTTCAGAGCCTGTTATTGGTCTATTCAGGGATTGAACTTCTTCCTGGTTTAGTCTTGGGGGGGTTTATGTATCCAGGCATTTATCCATTTCTTCTAGATTTTCTAGTTTATTTGCATAGAGGTGTTTATAGTATTCTCTGATAATAGTTTGTATTTCTGTAGGATCAGTGGTGATATCCCCTTTATCATTTTTTTATTGCATCTATTTGATTCTTCTCTCTTTTCTTCTTTATTAGTCTTGCTAGTGGTCTATCAATTTTGTTGATCTTTTCAAAAAACCAGGTCCTGGATTCATTGTTTTTTTGAAGGGTTTTTTATGTGTGTGTGTGTGTGTCTCTATCTCCTTCAGTTCTGCTCTGATCTTAGTTATTTCTTTCCTTCTGCTAGCTTTTGAATTTGTTTGCTCTTGCTTCTCTAGTTCTTTTAATTGGATAAAAAGTCAAGACCCATCAGTGTGCTGTATTCAGGAGACCCATCTCACATGCAGAGACAAACATAGGCTCAGAATAAAGGGATGGAGGAAGATCTACCAAGAAAATGGAAAGCAAAAAAAAGCAGGAGTTGCAATCCTAGTCTCTGATAAAACGGACTTTAAACCAACAAAGATCAAAAGAGACAAAGAAGGCCATTACATAATGGTAAAGGGATCAATTCAACAAGAAGAGCTAACTATCCTAAATATATATGCACCCAATACAGGAGCACCCAGATTCATAAAGCAAGTTCTTAGAGACCTACAAAGAGACTTAGACTCCCACACACTAATAATGGGAGACTTTAACACCCCACTGTCAATATTAGACAGAACAATGAGACAGAAGGTTAACAGGGATATCCAGGACTTGAACTCAGCTCTGCACCAAGTGGACCTAATAGACATCTACAGAACTCTCCACCCCAAATCAACAGAATATACATTCTCAGCACCACATCGCGCTTATTCCAAAATTGACCACATAGTTGAAAGTAAACCACTCCTCAGCAAATGTAAAAGAACAGAAATCATGATAAACTGTCTCTCTGACCACTGTGCAATCCAATTAGAACTCAGGATTAAGAAACTCACTCAAAACCGCACAACTACATGGAAACAACAACCTGCTCCTGAATGACTACTGGGTAAATAACGAAATGAAGGCAGAAATAAAAATGATCTTTGAAACCAATGAGAATAAAGACGCAATGTACCGGAATCTCTGGGACACATTCAAAGTAGTGTGTAGAGGGAAATTTATAGCACTAAATGCCCACAAGAGAAAGCAGGAAAGATCTAAAATCGACACCTTAAATTTGGATTTTTTCTAAAATTCCTATAATGAAAAACCGAAGCAAATTTGATAAGTCATGCATTTATCATTACTTTGCTTTCCGAAACTTTTATTTTAAAAACACTTAAGGAACAAACCACATAATTAACATTATCTAAAATGACAATAAGACTGGAACTTAAATATTGGACTAATGTGTATTCGGAAATTTGAAATATTTTCCAGGAAAAATATTTTAAAGTTTTAATCACTGAGTAGCTTTTTGGCTATGATAAAGATGCAAGTTCTTTAATTCAACCTAAGTAAATCCACAGGACAATGTGGTACAATCCCTTTCTTATTCCAACTTTATATTATCACTGTGCCAAATATTGCTGGAGGGTGGAGGTAAAGGATTAAACATTAGCAACTTACATGACAATGGTTCTTTCCCATGACACGTCTTTCATTTATTTTACAACATCTGATTCCAAATTAAGCTTTTTTCCCTAAAACATGTACTCCATATTCTTCTGTGTCTTTTCCCAATGATACAGGACAATATTAAGCAAATATATATCTTCTGGGGCTTATTATAAATTCAGCGTATTGAAAGTGAAATTTAATCTTGAGTTATCTGCAAGGCTAAGGCAGAAAAAGAGTAAAAAAAAGTTGAGCACTCAAAGAGCAGATCTTTCAATATGCCAATACTGCTCTCGGTAATAAAAGTTCTTGTCGATTAGATGCATATGAAAATACAGAGCAAACGTGGTTCCAGATTAAATGCTTTTAAAGGATGAATAATTTTTTCATGTAAAAAATGAAGGACCCCAGGAAATGTTGCTAAGGGAGAATTGCTACCGCTTCCCCAATATCCCCAAAGAAAGAGAATGTGCTTTCAAATAATTCTTGATGCCACAGCGGCCCCTCTTTCACTGCCCAGCTCTTAATTCAATTTACTTGTTTTTTAGTTGGGTCAAGTCGGAAAAAGACAGACAGATAGATGCGTCTTCAGTTTCAATGTAATACATTTACCTGATCTAAGAAAAAATTTCAAAATTGATTTTCCCCATGCTTTTGAGGTCAGATAAATTTTCTACATTCTAGAATTCACGAAGAGGTCAAGTCATTGATTCCTGTGAAAATTAAACAGGTAAGTAGCCTGTTTAAGCAATTAGAACAAATAAAGTATCTTTTTTCTAACCTTGACACAATTGCATTTCTTTTGTTTCTGGTTTATTTGTTTGAAAATATTTTAAAATTATTTTATAATTGTTAAATTAATTATCTCCATCATCTATGATTCATCAAATGCCTAAAAGATAGGAGAAAAATCAAGATTACTTTGTAAGTACCAGCAACTTTGTCCATATGCTATATTAATTCACTAAGTCCAATGCATCTTTTTTTTCAAAGAGATACCTGAAAATGAATACTCCAAGTTTGTATATTATCTTTTTAACACAAGACTTTACATTTGCCCTACATTAACTTACTTTAGGGAGTATAATTAGCTTATGTAGACACCTGGCAAACTATTGACATTGTGTTGAAATGACTATATTGTAAGACCAAGATTCTCTAGTTTCATTTTCTTAAATTGCCATGAGGCTTCTAATTGTCAGGAGCAATTTCTGCATGAAAGATAAAAATTATGGAGCAAAGAAAATGAGATTCTAAGATAATTATTTTAAAGATGCAAATATAAACTTCTTTCTTTTAAAAATTATTTACTGAATGCTAAGTTGATACAAAGTATTTAAGTGTGTTTGTGTGTGTGTGTCTGTAGATAATATGACAAAATTTCACAAAAAGCCATCAACCCATCACCCAGTTTAAGAAAAAAAAAATTACCATTACCTTTTATATGGCTTCTGTGCCCCTCTCCATACTGATACTCTTATCTTAATCCTCTAAGTATGCATATTTCTGAATTTTGTGAGAAACATTCTTGTGCTTTTCCCTAGGGTTATATCATCCATCTGTGTATTCATTAATATACACTATTTACTTGTGCATAGTTTTTTTACTTCATATAAATGTAATCACACTTCTTACAGTATTCAGTGACAGCCCTTTTGTGCTCAACATTATAAACAAAGTTTCACCCTGTTGTTTCTTGTAGTTGAGATTTATATAGATACGGATATAGATATAGATACAGATATAGATATACAGAGATGGAGCCTCACTTTGTTGCCCAGGGTGGAGTGAAGTGGCATGATCTTGGCTCACTGAAGCCTCCGCCACGTGGGTTCAAGCAATTCTCCTGCCTCAGCTTCCTGAGTAGCTGGGATTAAAGGTGCCCACCATCACGCCCAGCTACTTTTCGTAATTTTAATAGAGACAGGGTTTCTCCACATTCGTCAGGCTGCTCTTGAACTCCTGACCTCAGGTGATCCACCCGACTCGGCCTCCCAAAGTGTTGGGATTACAGGCGTGAGCCACCGCGCCTGCCCAATTAATATATTTTTTATATTGAATACTGACCTATTGTGTGAATATGCCATAGTTATTTCTCCATTTTACTGATGACCACTTGTATTTTTAGTTTTGTTTTGCTATTAAAAGTTTTGCTATGAACACTTTATTCTTGTCTTCTTGTTCTTGTGTGAAAGTTTTCTTAGGTATATATTTAGGAATGGAACTGCTGGGTTTAGGGTTTTCCCATCTTCACATTTATTAGGTAATATTCTATTACTTTTCCAAAGTGTTTGTACTACTTTACATCCTATGAGTATCATGTAAGAGTTTGTTATTGCTCTACTTTTTTCCAACATTTGATATATTCAAGTGTAATATTTTTGCAAATCTAGTGGTAGTGAAATTATATCTAATTGCAGGCTTATTTTGCATATTCCTAATTCTTAATTATTAAATTGCATATATTTTTGTAGGCTTATATATCATTTGTGTTTCATCTTGAGTGAAAAGACTAAAGGTTTTTTTCTCCCAGGTTGTTTAACTTTTATTGATTTGTAAGGACTCTACCTGCTAATATATACATATTTTTTTGACACCCAGGATGGAATGCAGTAGCACCATCTAGGCTTGCTGCAACCCCTGCCTCCTGGGTTCAAATGATTCCCCTGCCTCAGCCTCCCAAGTGCTGGGATTACAGTCACCGACCACCTCGTTTGGCTACTTTTTGTATTTTTTATAGAGATGAAGGTTTACCATGGTGGCCAGGCTGATCTTGAACTTCTGATCTCAAGTGATCCACCCACCTTGGCCTCACAAAGTCCTGGGATTACAGCCATGAGTCACCATGTCTGGTCTCTACTTGCTAATACTTTGTCAGTTATATAGGTTGCAAGCATCTTGTCAGTTTATTTTTTATATTTAGCTGTATGGTTTCTTCAGATGAAAAAAATTTCTTAAGGCTAATGAAGTACATTTTATCAATTTTTTTTCAATGGTGTTTTGTGTCTTGCAAATATATTCTTACTTAGAGACATAAATTTTACATTATATTCTAAGAGTTTTATAAGTTTTTCCTCTTGTATAAATTTTAATCTGCTTGTTTATATATTTTTATGTATGGTATGAGGTAATAATCTCTTTTGCATTCCCATGTAATTAATCATTTCTCCAAGGATGAACATTGACCAAGAAGGTCAGAAAAACCTGAATTTTTCCACCCTTCTTTTCCATGCTTGCTTTATTTATTTGTGATATGGTTGGCTATGTCCCTCTCAAATCTCATCTTGAAATATAGTTCCTATAATCCCCACATGTCATGGGAGAGACCAAGTGGGAGGTAATTGAATCATAGGGGCAGTTACCTCCATGCTGTTCTCATGATAATGAGTAAGTTCTCATGAGATCCAATGGTTTTATTAGAAGCCTTCTCCCACTTTTGCTGATACTTCTTGCTGCTGCCGTGTGAACAAGGATATATTTGCTTCCCCTTCCACCATGATTGTAAGTTTTCTGAGGCCTTTCCAGCCTTGTGGAACTGCGAATTAATTAAACCTCTTTCTTTTATAAATTACCCAGTCTTGGGTATGTCCTTATAGCAGCAGTGTGAGAACAGGCTAATACAGTAAATTTGTACTGGGTAATGGTACACTGCTACAAAGATACCTGAAAATGTGGAAGCAACTTTGGAACTGGGTCACAAGCAAAGATTGAAACAGTTTGGAGGGCTTAGAAGAAGACAGGAAGATGTGGGAAAGGTTGGAACTTCCTAGAGACTTCTTGAATGGTTTTGACCAAAATGCTGATAGTGATATGGACAATGAAGTACAGGTGGAGGTGGTCTCAGATGGAGATGAGGAACTTTTTGGGACCTGGAATAAAGGTCACTATTACTATGCAAAGAGACTGGTGGCACTTTGCCCCTGCCCTAGACATCTGTGGAACTTTGAACTTGAGAGAGATTATATAGGGTATCTGGGGGAAGAAATTTTTAAGCAGCAAAACATTCAACAGAAAGCAGAGCATAAAAGTTTTGAAAATTTGCAGCCTTATGATGTGATAGAACAGAAAACCCCATTTTCTGGGGAGAAATTCAAGCCAGCTACAGAAATGTACATAAGTAATGAGAAGCTAAATGTTAATCACCAAGACAATGGGGAAAATGTCTCCAGATCATGTCAGAGAACAGCAGCTCCTCTCATCACAGGCCTGGAGGCCTAGGAGGGAAATATGATTGTGTATGCCAGGGCCAGGTCATCCCTGCTCTATGCACCCTCAGGACATAGTGCCCTGTGTCCCAGCTGCTTCAGCTCCAGCTGTGACTAAAATGGGTAAACGTACAACTCAAGCTCAGGCCATTGCTACAGAGGGTGCAAGCCCCATGCCTTGGCAGTTTCCATGTGGTATTGGGCCTGCAGGTGCACAGAAGTCAAGAATTGCAGTTCAGGAAATTCCATCTAGATTTCAGAGGATGTATGGGAATACCTGGATGTCCAGGCAGAAGTTTGCTGCAAGGATGAGGCCCTCATGGAGAACCTCTGCTAGGGCAGTGTGGAAGGGAAATGTGAGGTGGGAGCTCCCACACAGAGTCCCCACTGGGGCACTGCCTAGCGTAGCTGTGAGAAGAGGGTCACTGTCCTCCAGAACCCAGAATGGTAGATCTACACACAGCTTGCACCGTGCGCCTGGAAAAGCCACAGACACTCAATGCCAGCCTGTGAAAGCAGCTGGAATAGGGGCTGTACCCTACAAAGCCACAGGGGAGGAGCTGCCAAAGGCCATGGGAGCCCACCTCTTGCATCAGCATGACCTGGATGTGAGACATGGAGTCAAAGGAGATCATTTGGAGCTTTAAAGTTTGACTTCTCTGCTGGATTTCAGACTTGCATAGTGCCTGTAGCCCCTTCATTTTTGCCAATTTCTCCTATTTGGAATGGGTGGGGTGTATTTATCCAATGCCTGTACCCTCATTGTATCTGGGAAGCCACTAACTTGCTTTTGATTTTACAGGTTCATAGGCAGAAGGGGCTTGACTTATCTCAGACGAGACTTTGGACTTGGACTTTTGAGTTAATACTGGAATGAGTTAAGACTTTGAGCTCTGTTGGAAGGGCGATGATTGTGTTTTGAAATGTGAGGACATGAGACTTGAGAGGGGCCACGGATGGAATGATATGATTTGTCTGTGTCCCCACCTAAAGCTTATCCTGAATTATAGTTCTCATAATTCCCACATGTTGTGGAAAGGACCCAGTGGGAAGTAATTGAATCATGAGGGCAGTTACCTCCATGCTATTCTCATGATAGTGAGTTCTCATGAGATCTAATGGTTTTACAAGGTGTTATCCCCCCGTTTTGCTCAGAACTTCTCCTTGTTTCTACCACAGAAAGAAGGATGTGTTTGCTTCCCTTTTGATCGTGATTGTAAGTTTCCTGAGGCTCCCCTATCTCTGTGGAACTGTGAGTTAATTAAACCTCTTTTCTTTATAAATTTCCCAATCTCAGATATGTCTTTAAAGCAGCATGAGAACAGACTAATACAATTTGCAATATTAATATTATGATAAATCAAATTTTCACATAAGTATGACTTTTATTTTGAACTCTCTCCTATTGCACTGCACTATTTGTGCATACCTGCAATAACATCATACTCTCTTAATTGCTATAACAGGTCTGATAATCTGGCATGGTCAGTTCTCTTTCTTTGTATTTAGTTTTCAAGAGTGTCTTGACAGCGTTTGGAATGTCATGTAAATTTTAAAACCAGCTTTTCAAATTCCACTAAAAACATGCTTGCTGTGATTTTGATCAGAATTTCATTACTATATATCAGTGTTGAGAGTTGTCACCTTCATGTTTATATGTGAACATGCTCTCATTAGTCCATTTTTATACTGTTATAAATAACTGCCCAAGACTGGGTAATTTATAAAGAAAAGAGGTTTAATTGATTGACAGTTCCTCATAGCTTGAGAGGTCTCAGGAAACTTACAATCATGGCAGAAAGTGAAGGGGAATCAAGGTACCTTCTTCACAAGGTGGCAAGATGAGAAGTGCCAAGCAAAGGGGGGAGAGTCCCTTATAAAACCATCAGATCTCATGAGAACTCACTCATTATCATGAGACTAGCATGGGGGAAACTTCCCCGATAATTCAATTACCTCCCCCTTTTCTCTCCCTGGACACATGGGAATTAATGGGATTATGACGATTACAATTTAAGATGAGATTTGGGTAAGGACCCAAAGCCTAACTATAACATGATGTGAATTTCCATTGATTTATATATTTTTCTATATTTTTAACAATGTTTTAAATTATCTACAAAATATTTTATAAAATGTTTTATTTAAAATTTTCATTGTTAGAAATAAATGTTATTGTCACAGTTGTCAAAATTTATATTATTGTTACCATATACATTTTTAATTTATAAATTATTAAAGTATTTATTTTAAAAGCCAAACAATATTCCCAGAAGAAAATCAGTATGTAGGGTAAGTTATAGATATATAGACAGGAAAAAGTTAAAATATAATTTTTAAATGACATCAACAATATAATTAATCTAGTATCTGTGCCTGGGTTCTCCCAAAATAGAGCCTGAAACATAGACTTATTCTGAAGTAGCTCATTTGGAATACCAAGAATAAAGATTGAGGGGAAGCAAAAAAGGAAGAAAGAAAGATCCATTACTGAGTTGATCACTATAGGGGTGACTTTGCTGTCAACTGCATGACAAGCCTTACACAATATGCCTCAGAGCCATCTACTTGGAAGAATAAAGAACACAATTAGCCATCAGCTCCTATCCTCATTGGTCAAGAGTTGCTCCGCTGGAATTAAATGCCCTCTTTGTACATCCATGTTGCATATGCAGGGTGGCCAATGGGTTCCTGCGGGCAATCCAATCACTTGGTATCATGTAACATCTTGTGGAAAAAGTAAACAGTTTTTTTTTCAAACTGACAATACAATTAATAAAAAACCATCACATAGCACAATCTTTATATTTATCGTCATTTATATTCAGTTTGAATGACACAGGCATCACATAGCCCAATGGTTCACTATCCACTTGCCCCTTGACCCAATCTACCACAGGTAAGAATTTTAATAATGGTGATGCCACTGCTTGCAAAGAGTAACTATTAGCCCACTTATTAGCTTGGGTCCTTATTGCCATTTAATTTTTAAATAATCCAGTTCTGATCTTATCTTGAGGGTCTTTTTTTAGGATTATTTCTGATGTACACTATCTCAGTCTTGATTTCCCCAAAAGCAGAGCCTCAGATTAAGTTATATATATGAGTAGTTTATATGGAAATGTGATTCAAGAGAGGAGGATTGACAGAGCAAGTGAAGCAGGATAAAAAAAGATGAATTGTCAATTTGGCTATAGCAACAGGCCATAAAACAGGCGTTGTGAAGTGCACCTCAGGATCATCCGGCAGGAAAAGGAAGAGGAAATCATTTGCCCATTGGCTTCTATTTTCTATTGATGACTAGAATATAAATTCCAAGATAGCACAGAAAGATTTATATCCATTTTATTCACTAGTACATACCCAGTATGATAGTAGACACTGAGTAAATATTTATGGGAAAAATTCATGAATTTCTTCATAATTATAGCCCATTATTTGCTCAGATATCATATCTGACCCATTTTCCCTCTCCTGTGATCCTAGTATTCTAATTATATATAAGCTAGACCTTTCAATCTATCTTTTGTAACTTTTAATAATTCTTTCATATTTATCATACTGTCCCTACTACATTCAGAAAAATTTCTTCAGATCTTTTCATTCAATAATGCAATGTATAGTTCTGAATTAATTAAATGTTTTTATTTCAATGATTGTATATTATTAGTCGAATTCTGAAGCTAAGGCAGGAGAATTACTTGAGGCCAGGAGTTCAAGATCAGCCTGGGCAACCTAGTGAGACCTTGTCTCTACAATTTAAAAAAAAAAAAAGGTTAAAAAATAGAAATTAAAAATAAATAAAATGAAATAATTCTGGGTCATTTTTCTTCAAACCTACTTCATTATTTTACAACATTTTGTGTTTTTACTCATACTTTCAGTGTATTTCCTTAAACCAACTAATTCAAGATATTAAAATATCCAAGATATTCTGTATCTGCTCATTCTAATATTAAGTGTTACTTCTAAGTAATCTCTCTGCTTTATTCTACTGGCTGGAGTTCATGGAACCTTCTTTCCTTGTGTATTTTGTGATTTCTTTTTTTTACTATGAGTTTATAATTCTCATAACACCATTAGTTAAATTAACTTGAATATTTTTGAAGGCAGACTTCAGCATGGAAAATTTGCGTTTGCTTCTGCAAGTACACTGGCAGCATAAGTCAGTAGAAACAACTAGCTTTAAACTAAATTAATAGATTTGGGCCAACCACGGTGGCTCATGCCTGTAATCCCAGCACTTTGAGAGGCCGAGGAAGATGGCTCACCTTAAGTCAGGAGTTCGAGATCAGCCTGGCCAACATTTGAAACCCCATCTCAACTAAAAATACAAAAATTAACCAGGCATTGTGGTGGGTGCCTACTTGAGAGGTTGAAGCAGGAGAATCACTTGAACGTGGTGGGGGGAGGTTGCAGTGAGCCGAGATGGTACCACTGCACTCCATCCTGGGTGACAGAGTGAAAGTGCATATCAAAAAAAAAAAAATGAACAAATTTGAAATCTGGCATTGTATGAATAGAGGCTTGAAGGTAATATTAAGGCAATTTGAGCTATGGTATTCATGAAGAAAATCTATTCTTGTTTCAGCTCTTTGCTAAGGTTTTTAATAGGCAGTTTTCTTTCAGATGTTTTCGGGGCATAAGTTTGGTTTGAATTCATTCTTATGTTGAGGATCATGCTATTTTGGCTCTGTCTTATACAAGAAAATTTTCAGTTAGACTCCATAACTTTGACCAGCTCTGGACTTCATATTCTATACCCCATTTTCTATATATGACCAGAAAAATAAAAGCTCAGGTTCATCTGTTCTACTCCTAACCCCCCGCAAAAAAACAAAAACAAAACAAAACAAAACAAAAAAACAAATTAAAAAAAACAGATTTTGAGTCAGCTTACAACTTCAGGATTCTAAATTCATTTACATTTTTGCTTCTCAATATTCTTTGATTTCTAGTCAGCTTGTTGATGCATCTAAAGATATTATAACTTTGGTCAGTATTTTTAGATTTTTCAAGGACAGGTTTTAGTGACAGCCTCTAGTTTGGCTCATTCCTGAAAATAAAAGACAAATGTGTAATTATTTATAAATTAATTTTAAAATGAAAATGGTAATAATAAAATTACAATGAATTATTTATTGAATACACTCTACATACTTGGCCTATTGTAGGTCCTTTATATATGCTGTTGTTTTAATTAGTGTCATTATTATCATTAGAAAAGAGGTATTTATGAGGATTCTCAGCTCAGAAAAGTGTGTAATGAAATGCTCAATATCATACAAGTAAAATGGTAAAATCTGCATTTATAGAAGCTTGATGATAAAAATGTAACAGTAACTGAAGATTTATTCTTTTAGAAATAATTTATTATTTAAGAATACATTTAAACATTTTCTAGGGAATGCAAATGTATTTAAAGGCCAACAAGAAAGAGCATAGGCCAGTTTTAGATGAACATGAGCACATATTACTTTGCTATTGCTGCCCAATTGGCATCCTAATCACTACTAAGCAATTTATGACCCCGGAAATTCAATCACATATCATTTTGCATCAATCAACATGACAAGTCTATTATACCCTGACAACTACCTCCTTGACCCTTACTTCCAAAACCAAGTTGAAGTAAACATTCATTTTTCAGTGGATACCAAATTATTGTTTAATTTAAGGAAAAGTACTGAATGATGTCCAAAATCATCACAAATGATGTTTCAATGAAAAAAAGTAACAACAAAGTAATAACAAATTAAAAAATGAAATTCATAATCAGGTTTTACTATTTTATCCAAATATTAAAATAAAATTGTATAGTAAGTTATCCTTCATAGAGATAAATTCTCTGACATTATAGAATTGGCACACATTACCTTTCTAGCATGTAATGTCAATAGAACCAGAAACTCTACAGAAACAACAGCCCTTGATATAGTTTGGCTCTGTGTCCCCACCCAAATCCCACTTCAAACTGTAATCTCCATGTGTTGGAGCAGGGGCTGGGTGGGAGGTTATTGGATCATAAGGGTAGCCTTCCCCCCTTGCTGTTCTTGTGTTCTCAAGAGATCTGATGGTTTAAAAGTGTGGCACTTCTCGCTTCTCTCTCTCTCTCTCTCTCTCTCTCTCTCTCCCCCCCTTCTGCTGCCACATAAAACATGCCTTGCTTCCCCTCGAACTTCCACCATGATTTTAAGTTTCCTGAAGCCTCACTAGCCATGCAGAACTCTGACTCAATTAAACCTTTTCTTTATTAATTACTCAGTCTCAGGTAGTTCTTTATAGCAGTGTGAAAACAGACTAATACAGCCCTTTCTTAAAAAAGCATTTGAGGTGCAAAAATCTGTCATAACATTTCATAACAGGACCATGTGCCTTGTATTCAGAAATTAACTACTTTTATTTAAAACATTATTCTAAGTTTTTTCTCTAACTTCTTATCCTGTATTTAACTAAAACTTGAAAATATCCCATAAAAGAGTCATTAAAAGCGTAAAATAATGGCAGATTTTTGGAAGAAAACAAGCAGATAATGTTTTAAAAAGCAGATACACAAAGCAGTATATTTTAGGAAAAGAACAAAATAACTTAACATTCTCTGAATGTACCAGTAAACTTTTACCATCTCGTCTTACATCACTAAGAATATTTGTAAATGAGAATTTATAAATAAGTTCCATTGAAGTGAAAAATTCACAAAGAATGTTCTGATTGATAAATTAAAACAATACTTTGGTATTCATGGCATTGCTGGTCTTCTTTAATTATAGTAGAAGTGTATGTGAGATAAATATTTCTATTAAAGCTGTCATTTTATCAGTTGCCTTAGAACTACTCTCTAGTTTCATCTACTTAGCATCTGCCTGCCTTTTTTAGAAGCAGCATCTCCTTTATGGAAGCACTGCTTCTTTTTTCCACTCCAAACTTCAGCACTGTTACATGGCTTTGACCCACAAAACACTGATTGCTTTGGAGGGGTCATCTGATCTTATGAGTCAATAACATTCTTCCTTGGATTTTTGAACTTTGGTCCAAAAAGAATAATAGATGCATCTTTTTTCCAGATGATAGTCATAAGATATAAAATGTTGGCACTTTCAGTTGTCATGTTTTCTACTATGTGCAGGAAGCCAATTGTTGGTAAGAGAGGAGTATTTAGTAGAAGAAGGTAAGTCAATCCCTGATAAATTATAAATTTTCTCCTTTTTGTGCTTCTTTTAAATCTTGCAATTTCATTGTTCTGTTTTAATAGAGTTCTAACGAGATTTTGCGTATAGCTTTTTAAAATCTTATCCTGAAAAGAATAATGTCTTATAAAACAAAATAGTCATGTCTCTTCATAATTGCTGGACGCAATACTGGCAAGAAGCAAAAAGTGGTAAAATCAATATCATGAGAATTGCTATTAAGCATGTTGAATTGTCCACATGCTGTTAATGCCTTTCTTCTCTAAGCCTCACTAAAAGGAATATTAAAAATATTAAAGGCATAAATACCTGAAAACAAAGAGAAAAAAAGAGAAGATACCAGCAGACAATAGATTTTAATTATCTTTGAAAAATAGTGATGGTGAAGTGATTAATCAGCAGAGACCATTTTCTATAACTCAAAGGCACATAAGTTTCCAGATTGAAAATGTCCATCAAATGCTGAGTATAATGAATGAAACACACACACACACATACACATATGCAAATATACACCCTTAAAGCACATTATCTTGTTTCAAACATTATAATTAAGAGAATATCTAAAACTATCAAAGTTAAATTCAAAGGAATGTGAATAACTTCTCAATAGCAAAATTGAATATTATAGGTTGATAGTGACACATAATTGAAAATCCAAAATAATATTATTTTTAAACATAAAATTCTACGCTAATCCAACAATCAATAACCTCGGACCACTTCTCTTTATTTCTCCCAATCCATTACTATTCTCTCTTATTCACTCTACTGTAATTTCTTCCTAATTCCTCTTCCTACATCTTTTATGGTCATGTCCATTTTGTTCTTCACAAAGAAGCCAGAATTATTTTTCTTTTAGTATGATATTTTTAAAACACAAATCCAAACATGTCCACTCCCTGCTGAATATCTTTGATGGCTTTGCATTGTCCTTAAGAGAAAAATCCATGCATGTCCTTCATACTCTGTAATGGTTTTCCCCCAACCTATCTCTCAGATTGACCCTAAGATTTAATCTCAATCTTTTTTTTCCTCCTTCTCTGCCACACATTTGCTGCCCTCAAACTCTTATATTTACCATTTTCCTTCTTTCTGTAAGAATTTTACACTCCAGGAAACAAACTCGTCAGTTCCTTCTTCCAATAGTAAATATGTACTTACTTTTTATTATTGGCTTGGTAGTCATTTCATCAAAGAAGAAGTCCTCGATCTCACCTACTAAGCAAACTTCCTCCAGTATACAATCTAATGGTATTACGTACCTCATATGTAAAGCTCTTATCACATCTGTAATTTTGTAATCTCGTATAACAAATAGGACCAAATATGTTTTGGACACAATATAATAAGTTGTGTGAGAAGAGAAGCCTTGTCTATTCTCATATTCCAGACTGCCTAAATCTTAGTAAGCCTGCAATTTTTTATTTGATAGGGAGATATATTGATGAATAGGGAGATAAAATGAGTGGATTCTGAGTCTTCACATACAGTAATGTTGTATATCTGTGTATATGTTTAACTCTCTTAAGTTTCTTAGCTAAATTTTGTCATTTTTCTATATAGAGATCCTAGATATTTCACATTTAATCTAGGATATTTTAATTTTTTTTTTTTTTTTGCTGTAGTGAGGATTTCCCCATTATCATTTGCACTTGGTTATTATCTTTGAACCAAATTAGCAAACTGGCTAAATCCAGCTCTCCACTTATTTTTATAAATAAGGTTTTATTGGAACACAGCCATGCTCATTTATTTACATATAGCCTATGGCTTCTTTAGTGCTACAATAGCAATTTTGAGTAGTTGCAACAAAGACTGTATGGTTCATGATGTCTAAAATATTTACTAGCTGTACTTTTACAGAGAAAGATTGCAAAATGTAAAGGATAAAGATACCATTTAGAATTATAATGATGATTGCACTCATCATTACAATTCATGTGTTTGATTTTAATTGGAAAATCCCTAGAATTTCATGTCTGAATCAGATATTCTTTAGATGTAGATTTCTAGGTTATCTTACATGAACTCCAGAATTTTGAATACATCTCTCCAGTCTTCTACTGGCTTATGTTGCTGATGACAAGGCTTTTATACATCTAATTTCCATTTGCTTCAAGCAGTTTGTTTTTCTTTTCTAGTAGTTTTCATTTTTTATATCTTTTTCACCAATAAATGAATTTATTCTTACTCTCCCCTGGGACACAGTAGGTCTACTTCAATGTAAGTTCAGTCTCTTATATTCTAGAAACATTCATAGCAACTAGCTTTTGATCATCCAGCTCCTTCATGTTTTTTTCTTTTTCTTTTTTCAAAACTCCAGAGCATTTTTCCTTCTATTCTCTATGATTTTTAACTTCTGCTCTATTTCATCTCTTATCTCTCTATGTTGCATTCTCATAGATTTTCTTATAATTATTTCACAATTTATTAAGTGACTGAATCAATAGTAGTATTTTCTGTGTCTATTAGATTTTTTATTTCATTGACTATTTTTAGTTTCTAAATTTAGAGCTGGTTTATTTTTATATCTGCCTATTACTGTTTATATTGTCTTTATTTTGTTTCTTGAATGCTAATTTTTCTTGATTTCTTGAAAAATTCAGAATGCATTCTTTTATTTTTAAAATTGTATTTGTATTGTTCTGGAGTCTTTATTTTCTTGTGTCTGACAATGCCTGTTTACTGAGTCTTCTGAGTGCTTTTTAAATGCTGCTAACAGATATTAAAGTTTCTTTGTGTGTTTTATAATTTGTCCTTAAGAATTTTTTTTTGGTGGGTGTTTTCTTATTTGTGTACTCCTCTTTCTGACACCATTGCACCACTAAAAGACTGCTTACTTCCACACCCTCCCACCCCTGCAAGCAGCTTGCCTCTGAAATAGGCTTGCTATTAGTGGATGTGCTTGAGTTTCTGCTGGGCTCTTAAGTCTCAGCTGGTAGATTTGGGCAAGATGAGGTTTTTTCCTACCTACAATAGCAGGCAAAGAGAATAAGCTATTTCATCCATCATCTACAGAGGAATTATTTTTTTCCAAATATTAGCTTTTCTGCAGAGGGCTCTTGCTCTTATTCCACTCCAGAAACCGAGCTCTATCTTCTCTGTCATTGGATCCTATTTATAGCATTTCACTGGTCATGTGACTTTAGCCCCAGATTACTAATGATGGTGCTCCTTTCTTTAGTGTACTTCATTCTCTATTTATTTTTGACAGCTGTACATTTTTAAATACCTTCTATATATTTTATCTATAGTTTCCAAGTATTTTCAATAACAGAGAAAGTGTTCTTAAAGGAATTCAGAGGAACTGAAATCCTTGCTCTTGAACTAGAATTCCATTAGTCACAGACCACAATTCCAACATGCCTAGGCATCATACTAAGACAACACAATAATGAAATAAATTATTTGTCCCTGGGAAGAATGCAATGTCATGAATTATTTAGTTACAGAAAGTCAGTTGGCTTCATTTGCTAATACACCTACGAATTAGAGATATGGCCATAGATAAAATTTTCCAATTCTATATGTTTTAGCAAAAGTCATATTTGATAATTTCTTATTAATATTTCTATCTATTCAAGCTAGAGAGGACCTATTTTTCTATTTTGCTGTTTAAGGGATCACATTTAGAAAGCTGGAAATAAAGTTCTGAGTTTTCCCAATGGTCTTTTAGCATCCACATTGAGTGATTACTTAACAGCTGAGGTTTTCAAGTATTATAGAAAGGAAGTATCTATTCAGCTCATTTGCCCATTTTTTAAATCAGATTATTTAGGATTTTTATTGTTGATTCATTTGAGTTCCTTGTATTTTCTGGCTATTAACCCCTTGTCAGATACACAATTTGCAAATATTTTCTCCCATTATGCATGTTGTCTTTTCACTCTGTTGATTGTTTTATTTGCTGTGCAGAAACTTTATAGTTTGATATAATTCCATTTGTCTACTTTTGCTTTTGTTGGCTGTGCTTTTGAGGTCTTAGTGATTAAATTTTTGTCCAGACCCATGTCCTGAAGCATTTCTCCTACATACTCTCCTAAGTAGTTTTATAGTTTCAGGTCTTACATTTAAGTCTTTAAGCCACTTTGAGTTAATTTTTGTATATAGTGAGAGAGAGTAATCTAGTTTCTTCTTTCTGTATATGAATATTCAATTTTTCCGGTACCATTTATTAAGAAGACTGTTCTTTCTCCAATAAATGTTCTTGGTGACTCTGTCGAAAATCAGTTAGCTATAAATACATGAATTTATTTCTGGGCTCTCAATCTAATGGTATTATGTGCCTCATATGTAAAGCAATTCCACTGTCTGTGTGTCTCTTTTGATGGAATACTATGCTGTTTTGGTTGCTAGAGCTTTATAGTATGTTTTGAAATCCAGTAGTGTGACTCCTCCAGCTTTGTTGCTTTTAGTCAGAATTCCTTTAACTACTCAGGGTCTTTTGTAGTTTTACACAAATTTTAGACATTTTTTATGTGAAGAATGTCATTTGTATTTTGATAGGGCTTGCATTTATATCTGTAGATTGCATTTGCTAGTATAGTCATTTTTAAAATAGTAATTTTAAAATTCGTAAAAATGGAATACCTTTCCATTTTCCTGTAACCTCTTAAAATTATTTTTTCAGTGTTTTACAGTTTTCCTTTTACAGATATTTCAGCTTCTTTATTTAATTTATTTCTAGGTACTTTTTGTAGCTATTATAAATGAAATTACTTTCTTGATTTCTTTTTCTTCTGGTTTTCTATCAATGTATAGAAACACTACTGATTTTTATATATTGATTTTGTTTCCTAAAATTTCACTAAATTGGCTTATCAATTCTAAGTGTTTATTGCTGAAGTTTTTAGGACTTTTCGTATATAAGGTCATGTCATCTGAAAACAGAGACAATTTGACTCCTTTCTTTCCAAGTTGATTGTCCTTTATTTCTTTGTCTTACCTAACTTCTCTGGTTAGGACTTCTAATACTATGCTGAATAGAAATGGTGAACATGGCATCCTTGTTTTGTGCAAATCTTAGGGAAAATCTTTCAACTTTTTCTTATTCAGTGTAATATTGGCTGTGGGTTTTATTTATTTTTTCATATGTGGCCACTTTTTTTTGAGGTGCATTTCTTCTATACCTAACTTGCTGAAAGTTTTCATCATAAAGATATGTTGAATATACCAAATGCTTTTTCTGCATCTATTGACATGATTATATAGATTCCATGCTTCATTCTCTTGATGCAATGTATTGTCTTTACTGATTTATGTCTGGTTAGCCATTCTTGCATCCCTTGAAAAATCCCCCATGATCATGTTAAATGATATTTTTACTGTGCTGCTAGATTTGTTTTGATAGTATTTTGTTGAGGATTTTTGCATTCATATTCATTAAGGATATTGGCTGTTGGTGACTTTTATTGTTGTTGTGTGCTTGTCTGATTTCAGTATCAGGGTAATGTTGACCTCAGAATGAGTTTGGAAGATTTCCATTTCCTTCAATTTTCTGGAAGAGTTTGAGAAGAACTGGTTTTTTTAATGTCTGGTAGAATTCAGCAGTGAAGCCAGTGGGTCCTGAGTTTTTCTCTGATGGAAGACTTTTTATTATACATTCAATCTCATCCTTAGTAGTTGGTCTGTTTAGGTTTTCTGTTTATTCTTGGTTCCATTTTATTATGTTTTATTTGTTCAGTAATTTATACATGTTTCACTAGGTTTTCTAATTTGTTGGCTTATAGTTGTTTGAAATAGTCTCTAATGAACCTTTTTATTTATGTAGTATCAGTTGTAATGTCTCCTTTTTTGTTTCTAATTTTATTTATTTGCGTCTTTTTAATTCTTAATTTGTCTAGCTAATTGTGAGTAAATTTTATCTTTTCAAAAACTAATTTTTTGTTTTGTTGATCTTTTAAATTATTTTTAGTCTCAATCTTTTTTTTCTGCTCCAATTTTTATTATTTATTTTCTTCTATTAATTTTGGGTTTGTTATATCTTTGCTTTTCTAGTCTCTTGTGGTAGATCATTAGCTTGTTTATTTGGAATCTTTCTACTTTTTGTTCTAAGTGTTTGTTGCTATTTAATATAAACTTCTAACATTAAACTGCTCTTTCTGTATCCCACAGTTTTTGATATGTTGTGTTTCTATTTTCATTTGTTTGAAGAAATATTTTAGTTTTGTTCTTAATTTTTTTTGATGCTTTGGTCATCCAGAAGCATATTGTTTAATTTCCATGTATTTGTACAGTTTTCAAGGTTTTTTCTGCTATTGATTTATAGTTTTATTTCATTGTGGTCACAAATCATACCTGATATGATTTTTTTAAGTTTGTTGAGACTTTTTTTGTGGCTAACACATGGTCTGTTCTAAAGAATGCTTTAGGTGTTGATGAAAAGAGTTTGAGATAATATGCTGTAAATGTCTGTTTGGTCTATTTGGTTTAAAACCCAGTTTAAATATAATTTTTTTTGTTGAATGATTTGTCCAGTGAAGAAAATAGAGTGTCGATGTCCCCAACTATATTTGTATTGAAGATTATCTCTTCCTTTAAATCTACTAATATTTACTTTATGTATCTGAGTGCTCCAGTATTGGGTGAATATATATTTACAATTATTATATATTCTTACATAATTAATTTTTCACTATATAATGCCCTTCTTTTTCTCTTATTACAGTTCTTAAAGTCTGTTTTATCTGATATACACATAGATACTCCTGCTTGTTTTGTTTTCTGTTTGCATGGAATATCTTTCATCATCCCTTCACTTTCAATCTATACGTGTCTTTACAGATGAAATAAGTTTTCTGTAGGCAGCATATACATATAGTTGAGTTAATGTTTTCACTCATTCCACTAGCCTATACCTTTTAAGTGGGGAATTTAATATATTTATTTACATTCAAGATTATTATTTATATATGAGGACTTACTACTATCATTTTTTAATTGTTTTCTGGTTCTTTTATGTAACATTTGTTCCTATTTTCCTCTATTATTGTTTATCATTGAGTAACTGAGTGGTGTTTTGTAGTGATAAGGTTTAATTATTTTTTCTTTCTTTTTTGTGTATCTGCTCTACTTTTAAGTTTTCTGTTTTGCAAGTGTTCATGATAATAATTACTGCCTTTTCACCTTCAGACAGAGGAATCCCTTGAATATTTTCTGTAAGTCTGAGTTAGTGGTGAATTCCCTCTGTTTTTATTGTCTGGGTAAGATTTAATTTCTCTCTTAGTTCTGAAGGGTATTTCTGATGGACATAGTATTCTGGGTTTTTCTTTTTTTCTTTTGACAATCTAAATGTAGACATTTTCTGCTGGCTTATAGGTTTCTGCATAAATATCTGGTGTTAGTCTAATAGGGATGCCCTTATATGTGACTTCACACTTTTGCTGCTTTCAGGATTCTCTCTTTGTCTTTGTCTTTTCACAATTTGACTATAATATGCCTTAGGGAGGACATTTGGAGTTGATTCTATTTGAGAACCTTTGCAGTTTGTGGATCTAGATGTCTATAACCTTCCTCAGACTTGAGAAATTTTCAGCTTTTATTTCATTAAATAGGTTTTCTATGTATTCTCTTCTCCTTCTAAAATTTGCATAATGTGAATATTTATTTGCTTAACGGTATCCCTGAAGTCTTGTAGGCTTTCTTCACTCTTTTTCATTCTCATGCCCATTTTTTCTCTAATTTCCAACAACCCATCTTCAAGGTCAAGATTCTTTTTTCTGCTTGATCAAGTCTGCTGTTGAGGGTCTCTATTTTGTTTTTATGTCATTCATTGAGTTTCTCAGCAGCAGGATTTCTGGGTTCTTTATTATTTCTCTTTGATGAATTTCTCATTCATATCATTGTTGTCCTGTTTTGTTATATTACCTATCTGTATTTTCTTGTATCACATTTAGTTTCCTCAAGATCATTATTTTGAATTATTTTTCTGACACTTCATTGATTTCTTTTTCATTGGGGTCTGTTACTAGAGAGCTATTATGTTCCTTTAATGTTGTCACATTTCCTTGTTCTTTCATCTTGCTTGTGTCTCTGTGTTGCTGTCTGTGTATCTGGTGAAACAATCACCACTTCCAAGCTTTCTATAGTAGCTTTTGCATGAAACAACTTTCACCTGCAGTTGGGTTTTACGTGGTGGTTGGGAAAGGTGCAATGACTCTTCTGGATAGATGCAGTGGTACAGTCTCTGTATAGCTTCTTCAGCTGTGTTTATCTGTCAGTAATCATTTTAGGTGCTTCATTGGCTTAGGCTGTTGAAGTTTGTGGCAGTTGCAGTGGCAACATAAGCTGTTAATGTCCTAGGTATCAAGGGCTTTTAGGGGCCTACTATTCTCATTTTCTCCACAATTAGAAGACTTATCCAAGTGGTCCTTCTTAGTGTCAGGTCTGACACAATCTGTAAGCAGCTACAGCAGTGCTGAATTCCAGGTGCAGGTTCTGACAGCAGCTGTGGGGCCAAGCTTCTAGGCTTAAACTCTCACGAGCCTATTATGGCGCCTGGGTCTTGGGGTACAGGTTAATTCTCTGTGCGCAGGGTGCAATGTAGATTGCCCGAAAACTAAGATCTGTGACTCTGAGGGATCCTCTAGCAACCAGGGAGTAGGTTGTAGCTCTGAACGTACTCTTGAGGGCAAAAGAACAGCACTGGCCTGACTTCAAGGAAGAAAGGGTACTCTGGAAGTTTGGGCCTGGGGACCTAGATATGGCTGCAATTCCTGAACCTGATCCAATAGGGTTCACTGGCAATTCAGGTTCTAGGGGCTGAAGCACTGTGTTTCAGTGACTCTAGATCCTGATATGGTGGGGCTCAGCAGTATTTCATCCTCTGTAAAGCCAAATTCAATGGCAGCAAGTAATCCAGGTTGGCAGAGAACAACTGTTGTTTGCACCCTGGAAGATCAGAGAACAGCTCACTGTGACTCCACTACCTGGGGAGTGGGGTCTCTTAGCAGCTCAGACTCTAAGAGGCTGGTCCACCTCCAATAAAGCAAACAATAGAGGTGTTTGGCCTGTAGCATGACATATCTCAGCTCAACCAATGCTCTGTTTCCCAGGGATGCAGGGCATTATGTCAGCACATAATGGAGTAGCCAGCTGCTCAGTTTGGCCTGGTCACCTGTTCCCTAAGGGTCAATGAGCCACTTTTACTCAAGCCTGTGGGGCATGACTTTTCTGTGAAGTACAGGCATCATTTTCCTGGAATGTTTGGCAACAGTTCCGCTTATTCTGGGTGTGCAATCATTCGGAGTAGGCAAGGCACTGTTTTTTGGAATGCAGGGTGCTGCTTCAACTTTTGCGCTAGGGTAGTATGACTGCTTTGAGTGGCCAAAGTATTATTTTCCCATGGGGCAAGGTACTACTTCAGCCGTGGCCTAAGTGGGGAAAGGCAAGGGGTAGGTGAAGGGGCTCCACCTCTAATTGGCCCCATGGAGAAGGCTGTAACAGCTGATCACAGCTCAGCTTGGGGATGTCAGGCCACAAGTCTGTTGAGGTTCAGTGGCAGCTTAGCACTTGGATGAAGGAAAGTCATGGCTACACACTCCGACCATAGTGTCACTTCCAAGATGGCATAGTGCAATAGGACATGGGCCACAGGGGTAGGACACAGTGTTGGCTCCTTCTTGGAGGGAGCACAGCCATGTGGACCCCAGGTAACTCCCTCAGCTGGACTTAATGCCAGCGAAGACTGCAAGCGGCCCCAGTGGTGAGGTTTGTAGGTGTCCAAGGGGTTGATGGAGGTTGCTGGGGTACTCTTGCTTACCTGGAGAAGTTCCTCCTGGTTCCCAGTTGATCCCAGCTGGGAGCTGGGATGATAAAAGCCTCACATTTCCGTCCATTGTGTATATGATCATCCCAAGTTTCTGTGCTCATCAGGGTTTCTGGTATTCCTCTGATTCACTCCAGCACTCTCTCAGTTGTTGTCATTGAAATGTAGTTTATTTGTTCTGGTTGTCTTTGTGATGGGGACAGTGCCAAGGGCTTCAAGTTGGCTATCTTGCTGACATTCTGTGTGTTTTTACGAAGGGGCTTTTTGTGGCTTCATATAGTACACTCTAATTAAAATACACTGACAACAAGCAGTCTCTTAGCGTATCAGAGCAGCTTATTGATAGGAATGCAGTAATTTTTCAATAACAGACAGCTATTCTGTTTAAATATTTTATCCATTCAAAGAGATACCATTTATCTTTCCTGCAAATTTAAACAATCAAATTATACTTCTGGAATCTTCATAGAGGGAAAAATAAATTAATAAATATATATATTTAATATATATACACACAATCAAATTAGAGAAAAAGATCAACAGATTTGGAATATGTCCACTTCCCCTAGGCTATATAGAAGATATCCAAGGCTAAAGTGAATCCTTTTGAAAACTACTTGAATCGAGATTTTTAATTGTGTTAAATAGTATTATTTATATTTTAAAAATAATTTAAAAGGCACTATCTTGCATACAGATACATATTAAATTACATCAAGCAACCGATGACCATTATTTTTAAATGTAAATGAATCAAAAATAAAATTATTTTGCCCAACAATGATTTTTAGGGCATTTTTGGATACTATTTAATGCCTAGTTGCTATTTTTGGCTAAAGTTAATATGCCCAAGGCATTCTTATACCTTGTATATAAACCAAGCAAAAGGGAGAGTTAATCTTTTATACAGAAATTTTTCTTTACAGGTTTCATGCATATACAATGAGATTACAGCATAAGTTTCCAAAAGACCTAAAATATTCAGGTATTTGCCTCAACTTGCATGTTCCTTTGTCTAGGTAACTGTATAGACTCACTAAAATGTCTAACTCTGAAGAATTTTAGCAATACTCACAGAATAATTTATGAAGTTATCATTCCTTATGGCCCTGTTATATAACCAGTAAAATCATCTTCCTAGTCCTTTTTCCTTCAAGCTGTTTCCTAAGGTGGCAGAATGGCTCTATTATTGTTTTACTGTGGCTATTAAAAAAAAAAATCTAGGCCCTCAGGATCTCATTCAAACTTTTGTTCTCAAGTACTTCAGATGGAATCAAATATCATGCAATATTTACAAATCGTACTCAAGCTATGAAAGAACACTTTGGGAGAGGAATAGGGAAATAAAGACTGAAGATAAGAGGACATGGAATGGTAACTGCCATTCTAAAAAATTTAGTCTTCACTAGGTGGAAATTATCTGCATAGCTTAGATACTGACATTTGGCAGTTTCTGTTTAATGTCCCCATTTTTTGCAGGACCTGATTGCCAATGGCTGAGTGGAGGATTCCCGGTGCCAGTAGGCATTTCTGTTGTTGTTTCTGCTGGAGGAAAATATGGGGAAAGAGAGTGGATGGCAAACACAGCGAAGCCTCTAGATTTGGAGTAATACACATCATGTTTTGTGACTTCTTATGGAAATGCTGATGTTGAAATAATCTTTATGAAGGAGAAAAAAATAGTTTGTTTATACTGTCTTCATGAAATAAGAATTTAGTGAGCTCACTACTGCATTTTATAATAGAGTTTAAATTTAAATTATTGCAACCAAAATAATTGAAAAAGGCATTTAGATATATTTAAGCAAGACATATACATTTTTTAATTATGAGGAGTCAAAGGTCATGTCTACATGCATCAGAAGATTTGGACACATAATGAATGTGTGTTGAAAAGAGCCCGGCAAAGGTATATGTAAACTGAACCTACTCCCATTTTAGTTACTAATTTTATTCTAACATCCCTGAATGTTCA